>NC_000003.12:131584361-131735877 GCF_000001405.40 Homo sapiens
ACCACAATTCTTCCTTACCTCAGGAAATGGCACAATTTAATAATCTATCCTTGAGTCAACCATTTCCTCCTTCCCTTACTCCCTATATCCAAGCCTTCAACAAACCTTGTAGCTCATATCTCCAAAATATGTCTTAAGTCTCTCCAATTTATCTATCTCTATGACTAGTTCCTTAACCCAAGTCATTATCACCTCTTATCTATAGTGGTAGCCTCCTAACAGATCTCCCTTGTCTCTCTTTAATTATCTACACAGTAGCAAAAGTAATATTTTAAAAAATTAAAACCAATCATGTCATTCTCTAGCTAGAACACTTTGCAGCACTGTCCAGTAGAATTTTCTCAATAATTGGAATATTCTGAATCTGCACTATCAAATATAGTAGCCACCAGCCACATGAGACTATTGAGTATTTGAAATGTGGCTAGCATGACTGAGGAACTTAACTTGTTATTTAATTTTATTTTAATTAATTTAAATTTAAATAGCCACATGTAGCTAGTGGCTAATGTATAGGAAAGCACAGCTTGCACATGCTCTTATCACATTTAGAAGAATCTGCTTTTCCTGGCCTCTGCCTCTATATCTGACCACATCCTATGAATGGTTCTTTCACTCTCTGCTTCAGATACACTGGTCTTTTTCCAGGTCCTCAATCACACCAAGCTCAGCCCTGCCTCTGTACTTTGCACTACTATTCCTTTTACTTCAAATGCGTTTCTCTCACTCATTACATATTGGCTTCTTTTTAATCATTAAGGGGCCTCAACTTAAATGTCAGATTATCTTTTCTATATGCACACTTTTATAATGAAACTGGTTTAGTTTTGTAATAGCATTTGTCACAAATTGTAGTTGCATTTTAACTTTTTAAATTTGTGTTTACATTCTATCCTGACTCCCACCAATCTGTAAGCTTCAGAAGGGCAGGGACCATGTCAGCATTGTTAGTCATGGTGCATTTAGAGCCTGTCACAGTGCTTGGAATTTACTAGGTGCTACTCGATAAATATTGTAGAAACAATAAATAAGACAATATTTCCCACTGTATAACTACACCAAAACAGTGGCTGGGTAGTTAAACTAAAGTTTTTCTGGTAGCTCAGTGATTCAGAAAAGCACATTAGCATATGGTCCATTTCCTCAGTGGAACTTAAACGATTTCTCTCTGTTTGAAAGCATTAGGTTTTGGTATATTTCATTTATGATATGTGTTACATTCTTACTTTTAATATTTAATTAATAAGATGAAATATTTCCCATATTTACTGCTTGGACTATTTCTATTCATAGAAGTGGATAAGGCAAAACTTTATAAAACTTTTTAGAACTCTAGCAGGTGGTATGAATGCTATCATTGATTTAGCAGCTAAATAGGACTAGTTCTGCATATTCAATAGAGCAATATTCTCTAGCTATATTCCTTGTTATCTTGGGAATGACTTTGCTTATAATTTAGTGTTGGTTTTAACTGTGGCTCTGAAACTCTGCATCCTGGCTTGTGGGTGATGGTCTCTGGGTGTTTGACAAGTTTCTTGTAATGCTGAGTACCTAACAGAGCATTTACAGCAGGTTTTGCAGGAACTAAGTGGAAAGCTGCCATTGTTTCCATTGAGTTTCCAGACCAAAGGTATGTGTTCAACAAATGGTATCATTCAGATTAAGTTTCTGACTCTAAAAAAATGTTAGTTCATTTCCATCCAGTCTGACTGTATCCTGACCTTACATATGAGAGAGCTGAAAAATGAGTTGAGGCATCTCTAATTAGCACTTCTGATCAGAACAGGCACAGAGTATTATCTCTAAAGAAAAAGACTTTCTCAAAAGCACTGAGCCCTCTGCTTTCACTCCTTTCTGCTCCATGAGGACAGTGAACTCCAGAGTAAGAACGGCAGGTGTCTTGGGTTGAGTTCCCCAAGAAGCAAATTTGAGGCAAGAATATAAGTGCAAGTAGGCCATCTGGGAGGTGATACCAGGAAGCATGAATAGAGGAGTGAGAAATTAGATAGAAGAGGCATCCCAGAAAGGGTGCATTATCAAGTCAGTTACCACTGTGGATAACTAGGGCCTGCTGGAGAACTCTGGGAAACTGTATAGAGCATACACCTCAGAGTTTTGCCAACTGAAGGGCAAGGGAGCTGGGGTATTTATATCCCAACTTCCATTAGTTATTTGTTGAGGGCTACCTCCTGTTACATCTCCTTCCACACTTCTATCTTGCTTTTGGGCATGGATAAAACAGGCTCCAGCAGATAGAGAAATCTGCCAGGCAAAGAGGTATTTCAGCTGGAAATTGGGCAGGTGAACAATAAACAGGTAAAAGGAGAAGTTGCATGATTTGGGCCCAGATGACTTTCTATCTCTATCTGTCTGTCTGTCTGTCTGTCTGTCTGTCTGTCTGTCTGTCTGTCTAGATATTATATGATATGAAAGTGTGTGTATCTGAGGGAAACACAGAAGGGGTTTGGGTTTCTGTGTGGGACAGTGTGTCTTAGTGGTATGTGGTAGTGCTTGTGTACAGGTCTTGGCATCAAATGTGTAAGAGTAAAATGATGGAACTAGAAGAAAACCTGGTACCTATATGAAAATTTGGAGGATTCAAATAATTTCTCCAAGGCATGAAAGTATTATTAATGTCACCAAATCATGGAAATATAGACCTAGAAGGAATACTACTGTTAATAGCAGATATTTTGGAAATGCTAGCTATGTGCTAGGCGCTCTGCTATCACCTAGGATTGTCTCATTTAATCTTCACAAAATTCTATGAGGTAGGTACAATTATCACTCTTATATTTTTAGATGAGCAAAATGAGGCATGGAGAGATTAAGTCACTTTTCAGGGCTACACAGGTAAAGGAAGTTAGAAATACTCTCATCTAACCTTTCTGTTTTACTAATGGAGAAACTGTAACGTTTGGGGTCAGTGTCTTGTCCAAGCACACACAATTGCTTTGGGTTGGGCTAGTTCTAGAATCTAGATACTCACATCCTACCATGCTCCCTTCTTATCACACTTAATCATACATTGATGTTTTGCCTCTTGCTGTTTCATTGGTAGCTGTGTTCTAAGGATGCATCATACCGACTGGAGGCAAAACCAAAAGTGGTTGACCATGTACCTGTTTCCCTTCCATTGCTCCTCTCATCTCCTTGAATGTCGAGGTGAATTCTCCAATGAAGTCATGCTTGCCATTGGAGTCCCAGTCCCATACTATGCACTGTAAGAGAAAACAATGATCTTTCTTAAAAAATTAAGAATGTAGCCACAGCAGCTGAAGGCAATGTTAACTTTAGGAGAAAGAGTAGATGAAAGATGTTTGGTCTGGAACCAAAGCCTGGGAGTCTAAGATTGGAGCATATGGGATGTAATTCTGGTTTCTATAGCCCTTTACTTGGACTTTTTGTAATCTGCAAATGGCCCTGTGATGCAGCAGTGACTACAATGATCTGCCCATTTTTCAGATAAGGCCAGTAAGACCCAAGGGAGATAAGTGACTTGCCAAAGGGACCTTCTAGTGAATGAAAACCTGGGACTTGAAGGCAGGTGCCCTGCTTCCAATTCCAGTACTCTTTTAGGCATAGCAGGTAGCCTCCCTGGTTTACATTGGCATTAGGTGCCTGAGTCCATCTATATAGCTTTCACAATGGCAGCTCCTGCTTCATGATTTGAATGGGGCCATATTAATCACATTTTTCTTTTTCTATTTTTTTTTCTGAAGGCAAAATAGCAATGACAACAAAAATTATTAGGAAGGCAAAAAATCTTTAAACGTACCTATGTGAAAAATGGTTGGAAAATAGTGCACAGACAATACCAGATATTTACCACACTGGTAAATATTATGCACCCATCACACACAAGATGCAA
This sequence comes from Homo sapiens, assembly GCF_000001405.40. NCBI lineage: Eukaryota > Metazoa > Chordata > Mammalia > Primates > Hominidae > Homo > Homo sapiens. Next base: position 131,588,233 of record NC_000003.12, read on the forward strand.
CCATTCACTTCTAACAAAAGGGCTAAATATTCAGCTCTCGAGTGATACTTTTTAGAGTGACTAGACTGAATCAGCAGCAATCCCTGTGCTTGGTCACACATCTAAGTGAAGAGGAGGTCTCCACGTACTCCCAGGGTGGAGACTGGATTGGAGTCTTCAGCACTTTAGATATCATTGCTACATCTTAAGCCAAAGATTTGCAGGAAAGAAGCTCAGACCTCAAATAAGATCAAGGCAGCAAAGGGGACCTTTTGCTCAGAGGTTTTCCTTGGAATATTGGGGATCTAAGAGGCAGCTTAGTTCTTCTTCAGGGCGCAGATCCCACTGGCCGGTCTTGCCTGAAAAATCTGACTTGGTAATCTGTTCCCAGATCCTGCAGGATGCCTCATAGATCTATAATATGATCTGTCTAAAATGAAACATTGTTTCCCCCTAAATTTATTCCTACTCATTTATTTTCTGTCACAGTGAATTGCATCAACACTCATTCAGTTACTACAAACAGAAAACTGGGCATCATTCCTGATATTCCTCTTTCCACTCACCCTCCCACATCAGGTCCTCTCCATTCTGTCTCCTAACTATGGCTTGACTCCAGCACTTCTGTCTATTCCTACTGCTCCTTCTCATCTGCATTACTACAACAGTCTCCCAGCTTGTCTCCTTGTCTCACTTGTACTCCTATCCCCCTTATAACCCACTAATTATGTTAATTCCCTGCTTAAAATCAAAATGTATATAGGCTAGCAGGTCTTCCAAGGTCTTTCATGATCTGACTCCCTCAGTACTTCCAAATTCACCGTTTATGATCCATGCTTACTGTATTAGTCACGGTTCTCCAGAGGGACAGAACTAATAGGATATATGTATATATGAAAGGATGTTTATTGGGGAGAATTGGCTCGCACAATTACAAGGCAAAGTCCCATCGTGTTAGGCCATCTGCAAGCTGGGAAGCCAGTAGTGGCTCAGTTCAAGTCTAAAAGCCTCAAAACCCGGGAAACTCACAGTGCAGGCTTCAGTCTGTGGCTGAAGGTCTGAGAGCCCCCAGGAAGCCACTGATGCAAGTCCTAGAGTCCAAAGGCCAAAGAATCTGGATTCTGATGTCCAAGGGCAGAAAGAGTGGAAGGAAGCATCTGGCTTAGGAAAAAGAAGGAAATCAGAAGACTCGGCAGGCAAGCAAGGTTATAACACCTTCTTCCACCTGCTTTGTTCTAGCCGTGCTAGCAGCCGATTGGATAGTGCCCACCCATGTTGAGGGTGAGTCTTCCTCTCTCAGTCCACTGACTCAAATGGCAGTCTCCTCTGGCAATACCCTCAGAGACATACCCAGAAACAAGACTTTTCCAGCTGCCTAGGCATCCTTCAATCCAATCAGGTTGACCCCTAATATTAACCCTCACACTTACAGTCTTTGAAAGTTTCTCTAAAATGGGGTCGGTAGGAATGAAAAACATTTGCAATGACCTTTTTAAGACATCAAGAAAAACTAATTTCTCAGCTTCTGCTATCTCTTTAAATATGGAGGATTTGGCAGATAATTATTTTGCCTAAGAAATATTAAGAAGCCCTTTGGTTAGGAAGGAGAATTCATTAGAATAAATAAGAATGGAAGAGATTAAGACAAAAGGAGCTACATTTCTCTGCTGAAAAAGGTAATGGTCAAGTTGAATTTTCTCTTTGATAACAACTAGAGACACAGAGGTGGGACCAAGACATGAGAATTGAGAAGAAATTAGGGTGGGTTTCCTCAGAGGGCTGAAGATGGACCCAAGTTTGGGGTGGGAGGAGGGGAGAGACAGGCAAGGAATTTTGGAAACTATGATGTCTAATTTTCAAGGTGAGATTATTTATATACGTCACCCTTCCATTCCCCTCTCCCAATTTGCCCTTCTTCCATTAACCCCAAGACTCCAGCAAATCTGCTACCCATAACATCATTATGCTGATGGTGACTTGGAGAATAAAGGAGAGGGGCTGTGTCCATGTTGTGGGGACAAAGCAGACCAGAGAGCAGCATGAGATGGCCCACTGCAATGACCAAGAACTGAATGGGGAGCAGGACTGTGGAGAGACAGCTTGACAGGTAAATCTAGGGGTGGAACTCTACAGAAATACTGTGGAGCAGTGGAGCTCCACGGAAATACCATGGCTGTTCTGCCAACCTGAGTCCCTAAGTGAGGGTAGTACAGAACTCTCAGATGACCTATGTGTGGGTAGGAAATAAACCTTTGTTATTTTCAGCCACTGAGATTACTGCAGCATAACTTAGTCTAAGAACCATCCAAGTACTTAAAGTACTATCGTAGGAATAGGCATTACAATTTATTTTTTTCTGATTCCAAAAGTAGGAAAAACAGAATTTTAAGAGGTTACAAAGAAATAACAAAGGAAGTATTTTCCAATAAACCTGTACCAAACAAAGGAATCTGTTTGTTAAAAAGTGTTTTATTGCTGGAAATGTTCAAGCAGAAACTGCAGGACCACATGCAAAAAATGTAGTAAAGTCAAGCAGACAGTTATGGAAAATTTGGTGGGATGTTTTTAAACTTTCTTCTAATTCAGAAATGCTAAGATTAGTTCTAGTCACAAAGGATACAAAATGAAGTCAATGAAAGGCTTAGCTCATTCTGCTTGAAATGCTATGCAATGCAATGTAGCTTTGACAGGAGTGATGGGAAGCCCTTTAATTCAAGGTAGGATGAAGTTCTACCTCATTTTTCAATGAACAGTGGAACAAGTAAATGATTCAGTAATTTGGAAAATCACTCAGGATGTGCACTGTGATCATCACATTGTAGAACACTGAATTGATCTGCTGTTACAATCAGATATTTTTCTCTCTTTGTGCCAGCCCCTCCTTATTGACCCTGGCATTCACACACTCCTTACCTGGAGAAAGGAGCAGAAGAAATCTTGCTGGGCTTAGACATAGAAAGAGGAAGAAGAGTGGTTTCTGGGCCCTTGTATTTGAGGCTCATAACTTTGCCTGATAGTAAGTACAGCTCACTGAATGCCTGCATCTGACATCAGATACTTAGTCTTTTACCTTTGGAAGGAGCAAATAAAAAGGCAAAGGAGGCAGAAGCAAATAGAAGAAAAGAAGTGGGAGCAACTTTTTTTTAACACTACCCTGAAATGGGAAAGAGCAGGAGTTCCCTTCTTTAGGGGACAGGGCACACATCCCATTCACCCCTTCATTGCCCTCCATTAGATTTTCCATCATGCTTTGGTGAATTACTGTTCCCCCTTAAGCTGCCAACCTCAAGTCTTTAAGATGTTTGCAATGTGCTCTCTGGCTGGGGCAGAAAGGGAGTGACCAGCAGGCCTCCCTGAGCTGGAGGATGAGTCAGGCTTGGCAGAACTCCATCAGGGGCCTCTCAGCAGCAGGCAGTGCTGCTTACAGGGGTCTCTTTCTTCAATCAGCTAGCATTCCTCATCAGGGCAGTTGCAGAATTTTATTTTGACCTTTCTGAGAAGGGATCCCAAAGGAAGAAAGACACAGTGAAACAGACCAATAAAAACACTGTCTTTCCTTCTCTCCCTGGCATGAAGCTGGCTTATGACAGCTCTGATGCAGCTGACAGAGGAACGCATCTTGGTGAAAAGTAAACAGATCAACCACCCTGCAGAAAAACTGAGACAGAGGCAGAGTCCTTGGTGTGAATCAATAAGAAGGCCTTGACACATCTGTGAGAGCATAGCACCTCAAAACTATCACAAGCCAGAAAACCTTCTCAGGTTCTTACATCTCACAGAGCAGTTTAGGTATAATATCTTTAAAAATGCATAAGCTTGACAGATAGTCTAATTAACCCCCTCCTTTTACAGAAAAGAAAATTGATGACAGATAAGTGACTTCTGCCAGTTCACCCAGTACAGAGTGGACTAAAATCTGGTTTTCGTACCTCCTTGATTTCATCACTACCACACAAACACAAATTATAATAGTTAAAAAGTATATAGTGCGTACTATGTGCCAGACATTGTTCAGAGCACTTCATACATATTAACTCCCTTAGTCCACAGAACAACTTATTGTATGCTTATTTTACAGATGAGGAAACTGAGGCACAGAAAGATGAAGGAACTTTCCTGAAACTACACAACTAACACTAGGTAATCCTTGAAATAAAGGAAGTTAAGCATCATAGCTTGTCTTAACTGAGCATCTTTTATAAACCCAGGCCATTTGTGTTTATGGTCTTTAATTCTTTACAATAACCATGACACGACAATATTATTACTATTTACAGGTTAACTGCCATTTACAGGTGCAATTTACAGGCTTGGAGAGGGAATGTGACTTGACTAGACACCTGGTAAGTGACAAAAGTGGATCTGAACCCAGGTGTCTAATGTCATAGCTGATATACATATATATGTGTGTGTATATACACACACATATATATGTATATATATTTGTTACTGTTGTTGTTATGCCATGCTACCTCTTAATAGAAGCAGGAACTTAGAATCAAGGTCTCATGAGTCTGCTCTGTGTAAAATCCCCATTCTTTGATTGAAACTGTAAACTACTAGAATCCTCTAAGGTTTAGTGAGCACACCAAACAGTACAGAGGAAGAACCTGCTCACTGTTTCCACACAAAAGGATGCAAAGCCAAGTAGTCTGTGCATTGTCCCTGGGGTCTTCAGCTCTGTCTGTAGAATGCATGGATAAGTGGGTCTGAGGGATCGGGTTACTCCCTCCTACTCTTGTTTTATGATTGCCTTGAACCCATTAAAAGAAATGTGCTATGCCAACTTATTGTACACTAGCTTTTTGTGATGGTCAGCTTCATGTGTCAACAAGGCTATCTGGCTAGCAGTTCCCAGTTATTCAATCAAACAACAATCATCTATTTTATATATGTGGTTAAACATTTTATAATCAGTTTACTTTAAAGTAAAGAAGGTTTTGTGGTTCCATATGAATTTTAGGATTGCTTTTTCCATTTCTGTAAAAAATGCCTTTGAGATTTTAATGGAGATAACTTCAAATCTATAGATTACTTCTGTAGTACAGACATTTGAACACTAAGTCTTTCAATTCATGAACATGAAAGGTCTTTCCATTTATTTGTGTATTCTTTGATTTCTTTCATCAGTATTTTGTAGTTTTCAGTGTAGAAGCCTTTCAACTCTTTGGTTAAGTCTATCCCTAAGTATTTTACTGTTCTTGATGCTATTGTAAAAGGAAGTATTTTCTTAATTTCCTTTTCAGATGGTTCATTGTAAATATATAGAAAGGTTACTAATTCTTATATATTGATTTTGTATCCTGCAACTTTATTTTATCCTGAATTACTTTATTAGATCTAATAGTTTATTTTCGTGAAGCCGTTAGGGTTTTGTACATATAGGATTATATCATTTGTAAACAGAGATAACTTTACTTCTTCTTTCTGATTTGTTTGCCTTTTATTTTATCTTCCCTAATTGCTCTGGCTAGAATTTCCAGGACTATGGTTTGTTTGTTTGTTTGTTTGTTTTGTTTTTGATGGAGTCCTGCTCTTTTGCCAGGCTGGAGTGCAGTGGCATGATCTCGGCTCACTGCAACCTCTGCCTCCTGGGTTCAAGCGATTCTCCTGCCTCAGCCTCCCAAGTAGCTGGGACTACAGGCGCACACCACCATGCCCAGCTAATTATTATTATTATTTTTTTTTAGTAGAGATGGGGTTTCACCATGTTGGCCAGGATGGTCTCAATCTCTTGACCTCGTAATCTGCCTGCCTCGGACTCCTAAAGTGCTGGGATTACAGGCGTGAGCCACCACGCCTGCCCGGCCTTCCAGGACTATGTTAAATGGAAATGATGAGAGTGGGCATACTTGTCTTCTTCCTGATCTTAGAGAAGAAGCTTTTAATTTTTTTACTATTGAGTATGATGTTAGCTGTGAGCTTGTCATAGATGGTCTTTATTATATTAAGGTACATTTCTTCTATACCTAGTTTGTTGAGTGATTTTATCATGAAATTGTATTAAATTTTGTCAACCCAGAATAGCCAAAATGATCTTGAGAAAGAAGAATAAATCTGGTGGCATCACATTTCCTGATTTTAAAATACATTACAAAGCTACAATAATTAAAATATTGTTTATTGGCATAAAGATAGGCAAATAGACCAATAGAACAGAATAGAGAGGCCAAAACCAAAACTATTCATATATATTCAACTGAACTTTGAGAAGGGTGTCAATAATACACAATGGGGAAATAATAGCTCTTCAACAAATTGTGTTGGGAAAACTGGATATTCACATAAAAAATGAAATTAGACCTATACCTTATATCACACACAAAAATCAGCTCAAAATGGATTAAAGACTGAAACATAAAACTTGAAACTATAAAGCTCCTAGAAGAAAGAATGCATAAGGATAAAGTCTTGACATTGGTCTTGGCAATTATTTATTGGATATAATGGTAAAAGCACAGGTAATAAAAGCAAAAATAGATAGGTAGGACTACATCAAACTAAAAAGCTTCGGCACAGAAAGGAAATAATCAACAGAATTAACGGGCAACCTATGGAATGGCATAAAATATTTCTAAACCATGTATCTCATAAAGGTTTAATTGTCTAAATAAACAAGAAACTCCTACAACTTAACTTAATAGCAAAACAAACAAAAAACTCAATTAAAAAAATTGACATAAGACTTGGATAGGCATTTCTTATAGAAGGCATACAAATGGCCAACAGGTGTATACGAAGGTGCTTGGCATCATTAATTATCAGAAAAATGCAAATCAAACTCCAGTGAGATACCACCTTACACCTGCTAAGGTGGCTATTATTTTTTAAAATGTACACACACAAAAGATAACAAGTATTGGTGAGGATGTGGAGAAATTGGAACCTTCGTACATTGTTGTTGGGAATATAAAATGGTGGAGCAGCTATGGAAAACAATATGGAGGTTCTTCAAAAAATTTAAAATAGAATTACCATATGATTCAGCAATCCCACACTGGGGTGGAAATACAAAAGAAGTGAAATCAGCATCTTGAACAGGATGTCTGCACTCTCAGGTTCATTGCAGCATTGTTCACAATAGCTGAGGTATGGTAATAACTTAAATATTCATTGATGAATGAATGGATAAAGAAAATGTGGTGCATATACATACAATGAAATATTATTCAGCCTTAAAAAAGAAGGAAATACTGCCATTTGTGACAACAGGGACTGTGTTAGTGTGTTCTTACATCATTATACTTGAGCCTGGGTAATTTACAAAGAAAAGAGGTTTAGGTTGTCTCATGGTTCTGCAAGCTATACAGAAAGCATGGTGCTGCCATCTGCTTCTGGTGAGGGCCTCAGGAAGCTTGCAATCATGGTGCAAGGTGAAGGGGAGCCAGCATGTAACACGGTGAGAGTAGGAGCATGAGAGAGTGAGGGAGGAGGAGCCAGACTCTTTAACAACCAGCTCTTGTGTGAACTCAAAGCAATAACTCACTCATTACAGCAAGAAGGGCACCAAGCTATTCAGGAAGACTCCACCCCTATGACCCAAACACCTCCCACCAAGCCCCATCTCCAACATTGGGAATCACGTTTCAACATGAGATTTGGAAGGGATGAATATCCAAACCATATCAGGGGTGAGCGTGGAGAACATTATGTTAAGTGAACTAAACCAGTCATAGAAGGACAAATACTGCATGATTCCACTTAAATGAAGCATGTACAATAGTCAAACTGATAGAAGCAGAGAATACAATAGAGGTTGCCAAGGGCTGGAAGGTGGCGAACTGGGGAGTTGTTTAATAAGTATAAAGTTTTAGTCATGTTAGATGAATAAGTTCTAGAGAGGTAATATACAACATAGTGCTTACAGTGAACAGTATAGTATTGTGCACTTCACAATTTGTTAAGTGAGTAGATCTCATTTTAAGTGTTCTAACAAACAAACAAACAAACAAATAAATAAGTAAATTGATGCAAGGAAACTTTTGGAGGTGTTGGATATGTCAATCAGCTTGTGATGGTATCACAGGTGTCTGCGTATGTCAAAAGTCATCAAATTGTGCACATCAAGTATGTGCAATTCTTTACACACCAATTATATTTCAAAAAAGCTGTTAAAAATTAAGTAAAGCGGCCGGGCGCGGTGGCTCACGCCTGTAATCCCAGCACTTTGGGAGGCCGAGGCGGGCGGATCACGAGGTCAGGAGATCGAGACCATCCCGGCTAAAACGGTGAAACCCCGTCTCTACTAAAAATACAAAAAATTAGCCGGGCGTAGTGGCGGGCGCCTGTAGTCCCAGCTACTTGGGAGGCTGAGGCAGGAGAATGGCGTGAACCCGGGAGGCGGAGCTTGCAGTGAGCCGAGATCCCGCCACTGCACTCCAGCCTGGGCGACAGAGCGAGACTCCGTCTCAAAAAAAAAAAAAAAAAAAAAAAAAAAAAAATTAAGTAAAGCAAATTTTTTTCAATAATCTGGATGGGCCTGATACAATTAATTGAAAAGCCTTAAAAGCAGCACTGAGGCTTTTCTGAAGGATAAATTCTGCCTGTGGACAGGATCTTTAGCTCCTGCCCTAAAATTTCCAGTCTGCCCTTCCTGATGGCCTGATATACAGATTTTGGACTTGCCTAGCCAGCCCCCAACAATAGCCAATTCCTTGCAATAAATGTCTTAATATATGCACATCCTCATTGTTCTGTTTCTTGGGAGGAACTCTGACTGATATAACTTTCTTCACCTCTTCCCTGGTTTTCATGTAGTAACATTCTGAAACGAGTTTTCAGTGACACTCAATTGGTCCTCTCATACTAAAATGCCAACATTTATTGAACACTCACTTTGTCCCAGGTGTTGTTGTAAGCATTTGTCATGCTCTGACTCATTTAATCTTCACAGTAATCCTCTCAGTGAGACATTATTATTATCATCCCTACTGAACAGATGAAGAAACTAAGAACAGAGGGGTTAACCAACTACTGCTGTTATAGAATATCCAAGATCAGAAAACCAAACACTGCAGGTTCTCACTCATAAGTAGGAGTTGAACAATGAAGACACATGGACACAGGGAGGGGAACATCACACATCAGGGCCTGTTGTGGGGTGGGGGGATGCTAGGAGAGGGATAACATTAGGAGAAATACCTAATGTAGATGATGGGTTGATGGGTGCAGCAAACCACCATAGCATGTGTATACCTATGTAACAAAACTGCACGTTCTGCACATGTAACCCGGAACTTAAAGTATAATAATAATTAAAAAAAGAATATCCAGGGTGTTGAAAATATGACTGACTTTGACATCAGAGTTCAAATGATCTGAATCTGATTCAGTTCCTGGTGGGCAGAAACCAGCTGTCCAAACTGTGATCATCACATAACGTAACTGCTGCTGATCAGTGCACAATTCTCACAGTTAAAGGAAATATGTTCTTTTTCTCTTGGCTTTAAAATTTTTATTTTTTTATGTCACAACTTATCATTTTTCCAGGTAAAGTAGAAATCTCTGTCAAATTTCTCCTGGCTCCTTAGTCATACCATGTTCTAAGCTTCTATGTAATCCATTTATATTTGCTTTAACATATTGCTAATTACATGGTAATCACTGGCTTGTGAGTATATCCACCACTTGAAGGACTTCTGATCACTGAGATTTTTATCAAGGTAGCACAGTTTTGGGGCACAAGTAAGAACTCAGATAAATGTTTGATGAGCAAACAAAAGAGGCCTTTCTCCCTGAGTTGAGTCTATGACAATTCTCTGAGTGTTTGGCCCTGTCTCTGCACTGCAAGGGGAAGGGAAGGTATTGTAATAAACTGGTTAATTATTAAAGGAGGCAATTGAACTGAATAATATGCTTTAATGGTTGTTGACATGGGTTGTAGGCACAGGATCGAAGAGATGGGATTCTAGAAACAGCTTTAGGGATTGTAGAGGTTGCTGGGAGCTGGACAGCAGGAGACCTGAGTTCTATTTCAAGCTCTCAGGATAATGCTGTGAGACCTTGGGCAAGCTTCTCAACTCCTCCATACTTCAGTTTCCTACTCTATAAAATATGTGTCTGGAAATGAGAATTGGAATGAATGCTCTCTGAGATCCTGTCTAAAATTCTCCAGTTATGTGGTATTGCATCTTTATCTCTTTTTCAATCTTTGTTCCAAAGCCTGGGATAATTATATTAAAGCAATAAAATTGTTAACTATCAATACCTGATGAACAATACTCCCTTTGTTTTCTTTTGTTAGGTATCATTATATCCCTTTGACAATTAAAAGTCACTTGTTTATTGTCTCGTGGTGATCCTCACCAGAGGTCCATGAGATGGGAGGTTCCATTTTTTATAGATGATGATCCCGAAATACAATAAAGCAACTGAAGGTGATTTATTCCAAAACACAGAGCTAGCAAGAATTGAATTAGGCCGTGAATCTGGCTTTATTTCTTCACATCCTGGGCCCTTTTCACTATACCACATAGCTTCATAGTTTACTTCTGCTATGTACCTTTCCAATGGCACTTTTTCCTTTTTCCTTCTTTTGTTTTTTACCAGCTAATTCTACGATGTCCAACCACATGGTATAAATATACATGTTTTAAAATTTCTCTTTGATAATAGACACTCTTTAAAATTGTCCCCCCACCCCCCCGCCAAAAAAAAATTACCCAAAGTGGTCCATGGAGGAGGAGCCTCGCTGGGTTTACTCACAAAATGAATTTTAAATGCAGACCATCAAAATTAAAGGCCAATTGGGTCAGAAAGGTAAAAAGCAAACTGTGTTCTCATACCACTCAGTCTAGACCAGTCTTCTAACTGTAGCTTTTAGGAAGTCAAGCAATACTTTATCATTTTATGGAGCTCTTAGGCAAATACATATAATCATAATTAGGTCCACCAATTATTAGGGATTTATGAGAATTTGATCCATAATTTAGTATTTGGAATGATGTATTTCTTTAAAAATTCAGTGACAACATTTGACACAAAATTAGTTTAATGCTTTGTACAGGACTGTAAACATCTATGAAAATAATACCAAATATATATCTCAGCTTGTTTGGAGGTTGTGACTTGAATATGGGTAGATTTTGGCCAGTTGTGTACATGGGAAGAGGGGTCAAGTTCCCTTGATTATTGTCCCTTAATTTTATTGTCTTTTTCTCACTGTAGACTTGACAACAACCCTCTGACATCAACCTAGCTGCTAGGATGGGAGTTAAAAGAAAACCTTTCATTTACAACATGAACACTCTGATTTGGACTTCTGAATTTGGCAGTGCAGAATGCCAAATAGAATGAAATAGAACTCTTCCTACCAGAGGGTAGACCCTATAAGATGGCCATAAATAGGACCTAAATGAAGGAGAGAATTTCTTAAATCAAAATTACATAGATGTAATTCCAGAAGTGGTGATCTGGGCTGGGGCCTCAGTCATGTTCATCCCTTGTCTAGACTGGTGGGCAGGACTAGTGGAAATCTGTCTGTACAAGGGCCTGAGTATCTTCTGATGGACTCAACCTAAGGTGAGGTGAAAGTATGCTGGCAAGATGGGTCCAGGAAAAAAGAACTGGATGCTGGAGGGGTGAGGCACAGCTAAGTAAAGTCTGGTGACAATTACTCAGGTTTGTCCCCAGGCTCTGTCTCCACAGACTCATGTCTCAGTTCTAGGGAGGTGGCTATAAATACAAAGCCAGCTTTAAAGAGTGTCTTTTCCCCAAACAGCAAGGAATATAATGACATGGGTCAAGAGAACAGAGGAAGTGATTTTGATGAAACAAGAGCCCCAGGAATCCAGTTTTGGGCATCCTGAGGGTTGATCTATATCTCTATGCAGTTGGGTTGTTTCTTGGGGGCTGAGGGTGAAAGGATGGTAGAAGTACCAGCATCTGGGATGTCCAGCAGCCATAGATGGCATTGATATTCACACACTAAGGTATCCATGCACCAAGGCAACAGCAAAGAGAGGAAATGGTGCTGGAATTTTTGGGATCCATGTAACATGACTCTCCCTGGTTTATGGGTTAATGCTTCATGTGAGCTTCTAATACAATGACAGTGAAGAAGGGCCCTTAGCTATTATTAGCCTCAAGGGTAGTACAAACAGGAGATGATACATAGGAGAAGGGTATGGCATGATCCATGCCATGAAGTAGCCAAGTGACCTGTAGATGAATGTGTCCAAAGACCTGTTTGAAACTTGCAAGGAAATGATTGAAGGGTTAACTTTAAAAGGGGAGGGGAATCAGAAGTCTGCTTTGCTTGATGGAGCAAGACCAAGTAAAATGCAGGTCTTTCCACCAGTCTTTGTTTTAAGATCTATTATAAATATTGGGCATACCACCAGCTACAGGCCTCATAAATGAGTTTGTGCACAGTCATCCGCCACTCATTTTCCCTGCCTAGCCTATTCTCCCACTCTGACCCCGCCTCGAGAGGAAACGTGGAGCATCTAGGGCATAACATCTGTGTGGAGTGCTCTGTGCTGTCTTGGGGTTATACCACCTTCCTTATTAGCAGCATGTGTCCAGACTAATAAGGCTTCCTCTAATCCTGAAACTCAGACCATATTATTTAGTAGAAGGGGCATCTCAAAGCATAAACTTCTTTTACAGACTTTGTCGCACCATTTACCTCTATGTGCTCCTTATATCTTGCTCTCTATCTGATTCTAGACTCTCTGGCTGTGGACTTTGCTACTTTTTCTTTTTCTTCTAAATCAGTTCTCAGTTTACATTCTGCATTTTAATTAATGCACTACATTTTCATTAATGGGGCAAAACTTCCTTTTCCAAAATCAGAGAATTGGTTAAAGAAGTCACTACCTTCAGGAGAGAGAACACTTTGATGGTGAAAGGGAACTTGGTAGTGCTCTGGTATGGTGGAAACAGCAGCATTCTCGGGGTCATTCAGAATTCAATTCAAATCTCCTCTGTTTCACTGGACAACTAGGTAATCATCCTCATATCACTTTGCCTTTGGCTACCCAGTTCATTCATCTCTATGGTGGGAATTACTTTTTGTTCTATTTGCCAGGTCATTGCAAGGATTTATTATATGCACAAGCACACATATACACACACACGTTTTTTTATCAACTACAATAGACTAGGAATTGAGCTGGCAAAGAGAATATAAAAATGCAAGACAGTTTCATCCCTCAAGATGCTGATGATATAGTGCAGGTGATGGACGTGCAAATAAATAATAGTGATGCAGTGGAGGTGGCAAAAATGGAGGTTGCACCAAGGGTTGTCTGGGAGTGTTCACTGCAGATAGTCAGGGAAGGCTTCCAAGAGCAAATAAAAACCTGGTAGTACCTGGTAAACAACATATGCAAGTATAACATTTCTTTATCTTATTTATACAGAAGAACAAATTACTAATACCAGACCCTCTTCTAAGCATAAGGTAAGGACAGGTAGAGCAGGAAAATTTGCTGGGAGCCTGAAGGGACAACCGGATGGTGTAGAGATACTTTCTCTACTCTCTTGTTTACATGATAGCCTGCACAGAATTGGAATGTAATCTGTCCAGTTAAGGCTCTCTTCTTCCCTCAGATTACATGCCCCAGAGATGGTGCAAGTATCTCAAAGCACTTCTCTATAGGACTCGTGCTATGCTTTGGTGAATGCCCTAGGAGATGCGGGGGATGTTGTAGAGAATCAAGGACAGACCTGGGAAGGCACAGATTTGGGTCCCAGTGTACCAGCTGTGAGACGTTGGGCAGATCATTCTATTCCTCTGGGTCTCAGTCCTCATCTGTTAAAACACTAATTTGCATTGGAGGAACCACAATAAAAAGTTTTTATGTCTAAGAATTTAGTACACCTAAGAAGAGTTGTTAAATTTCAGATTTCCAGGACTTACCTCCAGAGATTCTGATTAACTTGTCTGGAGTGGGTTACAAGAATCTGCCTTTGAAGCAAGCAACTTGCTAATTTGGATGCATGTGGTCTCTGGACATATTCAGAAACACTACACAGAATACCCAGGAGTCTGTGGTTTGTGACTATGGTAGCAATTATGTCCTGGCTCCCACTGTGTTCTTCAATTCAACAGCAACAACAACAACAGAAAACCCATCCATAGAGAGAAAACAACAATCAAGGGCCATCCTGTTTCCTTAAGATAATTCAATGCAGTATTGCTGTAAGTAGGCAAATACAGTCCTAAAATGTTACTACACTCACAAAAGCCAGACTAAGAAATGCCCAGGAGGAGATGGAAGGGCAATGGGTATGTTGGCTTTATCTTGTCAGTTCACACATCCCTGCTCTTCTGGATTGCAGCCAAGCTAGGGGACATTCCACAAGAAATATGTCACTCTTGGAAGCTTTCATTGGAGATTTATGGCTTTGGGAGGCTTGGTTAGCTCAGATAAGCCTCAGAGGCTCCCAAATGCTTGTCCAAACCTTTTAACTTCACACCTCACTACTCCTTAGGAGGACTGAAACTCCCATGGTTGTGTGGACAGAGTAAAGAGACAGGCTTTGACAGTGATTTATGCCCCAGGCTTTCAATGAGAACTCTGTCTTCATTATCAAAGTCATTCTGCACTGGTTCAACCTGTACCACTCTCTTCTACCAAATTTACAGGTGTAATATCTATGTGAGAACCAGTTATTTTATTTGGGGACTGATGGGTGGTTGGATTCAGGAAACTTTATTATGTGAATTGCAAATATGAACACAATTCCTAGTTAATGCATAGATACTCAATAAGGCAGAATAGACCAGTTGGCTGTTGAGGTATGATGCATACTACTTTTAACATCTGATGAAGCACTGCTATAAAAAGTTCTGAAATTATAAGTATCTCTCCTTTACAATTTTTTTGGGTTTAGGACTCTCTGTCTCTATGACTTATATCTCCACCTGTCTGTATTTTCTAGACCTACTTTGGATGAGTTGGATCTGTTTCATAGCAGGAAGCAATCTTATTTGATGGTTTATTTTCACTCATTATCAAGTCTTTATTGAGTACCCACACTGTGTTGGGAAATGATATATGTGCAGTATATAGAAGAACAGCAAAAAAGATACATAAGTGCAATTTAAACAGCAATAAAGATGGGAAGATAGATGGACTAATCTCTATATAAATCTTACAGTCTAGTGGTAAAAATAGACATTAATTATACTTGGAAAAAATGAAAAATTAAAGTGGGCACCTAATAGGGACTCAATAAGTGTTGCTTGGATGAATGAGTGAGTGAACAAAAGCAAAATGTGATGGATTTTTTATGCAAGAATCTTGGAGCACTTTTCACAAATGCTAAGTAAGTAATAAATCTCTTCAAATGTTTTAGAGTATCAGTAGGAAGTGATATAGAAATCCATATTTTATTTAGAATTTAGGTTAGGTACATAATTTGTAACTTCATAACCTTACAACCCCAGGGTTATAAGACAGAAAGGCTGTGCTAGTTCCAGAGCTCAAGAGGCTGAGACACAGTATCTGCCATATGTGCTGTGAAACAAAACAGAAATCTGTCCACATCTCACATTGGAGAGACACCATGAGGAGACAGGCATTTTGAAGAAAGAGTCTCAGCATTCTGAAAAGATTTTCCTTTCAAATCCAATCAAGATTTACAAAAACAATTGTTCTGCATAGTCCTCAGTTGAAGAAGCATTGGTCAGAGAATGGCCATTACCTTTTTAAGATAGGATTCTTCATTTTCCAGGGGCTAAAGGCTGTCTTACCTGGAGAAAGAACTGGACTTAATATTCCTTAAATTCTTGTCCTATTCTTAAAATGATTTAGAAATCTAAGGATTTACCTTTTCTTTACTGGTGTCATTCCATCTATCAGTGGGATCACACTTGATCAACTTTGGAAGAGTAATTGCATCATACTTCTTATTAATAGAGCCCCACACTTCCAGATTTCTGTTCTATGTCACTGGATCCATTCTAGATGATAATGGCTCACTAAAGACAATTCTAACAGAGAGGGATTTTAGAAGGCAAACTCTAAAATCATTAATTTCTACTTAATATAGCTCTAACTCCAACAGATGTTGATCTTTCCACTGGAACATCAAACTAAACTTTTAAAATTGCAAAATCCTCATTTGATATGGAGGAAAGATTTCCTAACCTTATTGAAAAACATGAATTCCAGTTGCATGATGAGACCTGAGTAAATGCCTTTTGATTGACTGATTAGGGGTTGTGATGGTTAATACTGAGTGTCAACTTGATTGGGCTGAAGGATACAAAGTATTAATCCTGGGTGTATCTGTGAGAGTGTTGCTAAAGGAGATTAACATTTGAGTCAGTGGGCTGGGAAAGGCAGACCCACCCTTAGTCTGGGTGGGCACCATCTAATCAGCTGCCAGCAAATATAAAGCAGACAGGAAAACATGAAAAGAGAGACTGGCCTAGCATTCCAGCCTACATCTTTCTCCCATGTTGAATCCTTCCTGCCCTCGAACATCGGACTCCATGTTCTTCAGTTTTGGAACTCGGACTGGCTCTCCTTGCTCCTCAGCCTGCAGATGGCTGTTGTGGGACCTTGTGATTGGGTGAGTTAATACTTAATAAACTCCCCTTTATATATATATATCTAGTCTATTAGTTCTGTCCCTCTAGAGAATCCTGACTAATACAGGGGTGATATGTGCAATGTGGGTTCCAAGTCTTGGCAGTCAGAGGTCACAACTCCCCAATTTTCTTGTAAAGTACCCTGTATAGGTGACGCCTAAGAAGTACATACCTTTTGTCATGTTAACCTATTTGCTGCTAATACAGACTGCGTTTAAATTATTTCTGTGTGCCACTAAGTCATTGGCTAAGTCCTCTAAGTACATCTCATTTAATCCTACCAGTGTTGGTAACCACATTTTGAAGGACACTGAAGCCCAGGAATGCTAGGTAACTTTATTGAGATTATTAAGCTAGAAAGGGATGAAGTTAGAATTTAAATCTTATTCTCTTGCATGGCTCATTTATTCTTCTTTGAATGAATAGTTTTTGAGTGTCTGCTATGTTTTATGTAACTTTCTGTGCACTGATTATATGAAAGCTGAGACAGAATGCTATTTTATTTATTTATTTATTTAATAATTTTAACTTTTATTTTAGGTGCAGCTTTGTTACATGGGGTATGAATGATTCTGTGGTCCAGGTAGTGAGCATTGTACCTAATGAGTAGTTTTTCAGCCCTTACCCTCTTCCTTCTCTCTCTCTAGTAGTCTCCAGTGTGTATTGTTCCCATCTTATAATCTATGTATTTCACTATTTTTATAAAGTCAATCCACCCCAGCATTTACTAAGCCCTAGAGCATTCCATAGAATTATTTGGTCAGAGTCATTCATTATGGACTCATATTTGTTCTGCAGGCAATTCAGTGTGAAATATTTTAAACAGAGAAATGACATGATCAGAGTAGCAATTTAGAAATACCACTCAGGCTGTTAAGTAGCGAATGAATGAAGTGGGAAGGGAAATAGAAGTCCAATGAGAGTTTGAAGTAAATCTGTGACACTGGAAAGATTATAAAGATATTAAGGAAGAAAAAACTATAAGTCTCAATATCTATGTAGATGTTGGAGTTGAGGGAGAAGAAAAGGAGGAAGAAGAAATTAAAGATTACTCCCCAAACTTTTGGTTAACGTCATTGAACATACCATTCACCTACATGTGAATCACAGTAAGAACAGGTTTGAGGGCCAAGGAATAGTTTAATATTTGGCCATGAAAAGTCTCACATTCTTTGACTTCTAATAAGTACCATAAGTCTCTGAACCCATGACAGGTAATCATTGTTTCTTCTAGCAAAATGCCTGTGTCTCTGTTTCTAAATGAGCCATGCTACTCATGGTGGTTTATTGATTGCTGTGATTTGATGCCTGGAGGCAACCTTCCGTTGGATCCCTGAGGAGGAAAAGGCGCTTGAAGACCAGAAAAGAACAGATGATTCCATTTGTATAGCTTAATCAGTCTGCAAACCACAAATGGGCAATGTGGGATTTACTGACAGACAGGAGGAAGTCTTGGCACAGCCAGGAAACTTGATTACTATGTATTTCTAACTCATTTACTTGCTTCTCTTAATTATTGCCTAATGCAACCACCATAGGTGTTCAGGACTTGAAATTTTGTTTTAGAATAAGAGAACAATACAGATCCCAAAAGCATGGAGAAATTAGCTACTCCTAACCAATCATACATGAATGATCCACACAAAATAGTTTTGCTACTGCTATGTCCAAGCCAATTCTGGGTGTTTATAGTAGATTGGACTGACCACCCTCAGATAATGAAAAGACACTCAGACATCTAGCCAGATTCACACACGTGGTTCTGGACCCTCCGTTTTATCACTACTATTCGTCATGGTCCCTGCTCTGGTCTAGTGTCCACGACATTTCTTTGGATTACTTGGGCTGAATGTCTAGTTTATCCTTGGGCACAAAATCATCAGGACATTTTAGGGCCTTGCCAATCCTTGGGATTCTCTCAGTCTTGGCTCCACTGGGCAACCATCATATCTGACCTGGGTCTGGATCCTGGGTTCTCCTCACTGCAGAATTGGCTGCTGGCTGGGACCTTATGTAGACTTACTCCAGCCACCCTCTAAATGTCTGGAAACCAAGTTTAAGATAATACAATATTTCTCTTTTTTCCTGAAATTTTGTTTAGTTATTTGTGACGTGATTTATTTCAGTTCCCAGAAGCTTATTTTCTACATCACTTAGCCTTTCTGCATAGATTCAGCCATTTCTGGCCAATCTTTCCCTCACTGAGTTATGATGCTTAGTTATCTAGTGTGAGAAAAACAGCTTGGAAGTTCCTCGATGAAACAAGAAAACCAAAAATTTGTACTAAGCTGTTAGCCTAACATTGCTACCACTGAAACTCTGTTTGTCAAAGAGAAGCAATTCTCCTCCTCTAAACAATAATTATGACAGACAGACTTTTGGGTGGATCACTTTCCTGGGAGATAAAATGACTTGGTTCTTTGAGTCAGCCAGGAAGACATCCTATTCCTTCCACCGAGATGGAGTCAGACACACATTTGCAAGATGGACAAGCAGAGAGCTGAGATTTTGGCAGTGTTAAGCAGGGCCACTGACCTATCCCACCAGGCTTATTTCCCAAGTAATTGAACTTTTCTTCTCATTTCATCCCATCATTGGACAGACCAATAGATTTATTTGTCTTTGGAGAGATAAAACAGATCTTCTTTACCTGGAAGTGTAAACCCATCCATTCACTGATGGAAATGGCCCTCCTTTTAAAGTGGTCTCATCTATAACTACTTTGAGAGGCCAGCAACATTATTAGAACCTAATTAGAAATTTCTTCTGGCTATCATAACATTCAACGTATTTTCAAAGGTAGTTTTTGATAAATGGACCCAAGTTTCTATCTAAATCCATCTCCCACATAAAGGTTATCATTTTTGAAAAAGCACACATCGAAATGTATTAATCCATATAGTGGCAAAGCATTTTAAAAGTTCATTTCAAAGAGCATCAGTACTATGGGAGGTTAATAGGTATTAATGAAAAATTAAAAAGGGCCAGATCCTCAAATACATTTGGATTACCCTGAGATGATAGAAGTTAAACCGTTTTTGCTATTGCAGAAACTCTGAGAGCCTTTGAAATGACAATGTGCAATGCCTATTACTAGGAGGAGGTAAACCAGCCACCAAGGGCACAAAATTTAAGGAAGCAGTCATTCTTAGGGTATTACAAGTGCAGGGTTGCCGCTTGCATTAAGCTGACAGCAGCTGCTTCCTTAAATTTTGTATTCTATACATCTACTACATTGTCAATAATTGTTAAGATTAGGGCATAATATACAATCTTCCCCAACTTATTTGGCCAAGAAAATAACTTGTTTATGTATCTGAATTTAGGTAAAACTCATAGTGACATTAGTGTCTTGTGAAAGAAGTTTGAGAAATATTTTTTTCATTCAATTAATGCTATATTTTGAGTGCCTACTATGTATAAAATAATGGCAAGACACCGGTAATATGGAAATGAAAATGAAAACTATCCCTTTCCTTAAAAACTTGGAACACAGTAGGGGAAGTCAGTTCAAATAAACCAACTACACAATTTAATAAGTGCTATGCTAGTGGTGCATTTAATGTGGAGTACGGTGGGTTTGGAGTGGATAGCAATCTGACTGAGCCAGGAGTTTGAGGAAAGCCAGTGAAGGACTTACAGTAGAATTGAGTGGGGAAGCTGAGTTGTGAAGGATGAATGCAATGAAGCCTGAAGTATGACAGGATGTGGGTCTTCTAGGTACAAGGAGCAGCAAGTGTGTGCTAAATGCACTGAGATATGAGAACCCACAGTGTGCCTGGGGCACTGCACAGTGTTGGTTATGCCTGCTGAAATGGAGCCAAGGGGAGGAAGACAACTTTCATTGAAATCAACTGGCCTTAAGGAAAGGATACTCTAGGAGGTTGATAATAGTGGAGAACTGAGAGGAAGGGCAAGAACAGTGAAGGTCTGTATGAATATATGTATATAAACAACCTTCATAAACCAATGTGTGACTAGAAGGGTATAGTAAACACATAATAAGAATCAACAGAACTAGGAAGAAGTCTAAAATCCCTACCATAGCTTGTAGACCCCTGATGGTCTCTGCCTACTTCTCTAGCCTCATTCCACAACACTCCCCCACCTCCCTGACACCCCCATTTTCCTTCTCACTGTCAGGCTTCAACCACACAGGCATTCTTTCCTACTTATGTCAGGGCCTTGGCACATGCTCTTCCTTCTGCCTGGAATGCTTTTCTCTCCAACTTTTTCTAGATACTCCTCCTCCAATTTCAGATATCAGCCCATATGTTCCTTCCTCAGGTATTCAGGCTAGATCTAGCTTGTTATAAACTTTATTCTATCCTTGTACTTTTCCTTCATTGCACAGTTGGGATCATATGTTTTCATGATTACTTGATTAATGTATATTTACCCCCAAAACCGTAAGCTAGCTCCATGGGGCTGCAACCACTTCTATTTAACTTACAATTTTATTCCCAACAGCTAACAAGGAACTTTGTATATTTTAGGTGCTTTACAAGTAATTGTTGAATGAACGACATGGTTGGTTAGCTATCCACCAAATATTTGTGCTTTCCAGTGTAGGGTTATTGATGGGTGGGTACATTTCCTAGCCATTTGACTAGACACCGTCAAGGGAATGTGATGTGTTTCACCTCTGGACTAAAGTAGTTAGGAATGAGGTGTGCTCTCTCCATTCTCTTTTCCTATCCACCAGCTGGAGGTGTGAGACTTTAGGCTTTAGAAGAAGGTGGGATGATAAAGACACAGGTGTTTAAAACCAGGATGCCTGAATCATTGTATGAAGACTGCCCAAGAAAAACTTGATTAGATTTTTTTGACTAAGAAACACATCTTCATTTTACTAAGCCACTGAGAATTTAGTTTTTAAAAAATACATGTTAAATGATACATGTAAGGGAATAATGAAAGATTAAAATACAATCTAGATGTGATTGGAATGGAGCTGGTTCTCTAGCCCACATTAGCTAAGAATTTTCAAGAATATTTCATAAAAACAAGCTAGGAATTAATATAAACATTATTGTTGCCATATTTGTGTTTGTTCAGGTTGACCATATAGTAAAATGGCTATAGCTTTCATTCCAGACCAGGAGTTTTATTATTCTCCCCTCATCTAGTTGATATAAGAGCCCCTACTGGACTGTTACAAATGAACTCTTGGGCTGCATGGACGATATCCAACTTTTACAGCCAAGATTTTCATGCTCAGAATGAGTAAAGTAGGTTTGCATAATTCCTTTAAGAATAATGTTTTACCAAGATTCGTTTTTGTTTGAGTGTGTAATGTATTACACTAGTATAATACTTCCACCAAACAAACTTCCCCCTCTCCTTTCCTTTTTCCCTCCTTTCACAAATATTTTTTGAATACTAACCATGGGCCAGGTACTGTGCTAGTCACTGTAGATAAAATGATGAACAAGGCAGCCATTGCTTTTTCCATCACAAAGCCTATAATCTAGCAAGAAACACAGATAAGTAACTAAGCAACTACAATGCAGCATTGTAAATGCTATCTTAGAGAGTCTTCAGGGTGCTACAGGAACCCTTTGCAGGGCCAGTGAAGCAGATACTATCAATATGTTCTACTCTGTCACATTGAATTCCTTTATCATTTTGAGGCACACCAGAGTTCCTGATGTCTTTTCTCTCTCAACACTCAGCACCTCAGCCTCTTTGTTGGAGGGCTGTCCTGAGACTGCTAGATTGTTCTCCTTGAGTGTGCAGTACTGGAAGTGCTTGGAGAAATCCTTACCAGTGACTGACACACAGCAAGGTTTAAATGTTGTTCATTGAGACAACTGAGATGTGACTACACTGTTTTTAGATATCCCTGGCAGGATTGGGCCAAAATTCTCCTGAGATTTTGCTTTATATCCTACTTTTGCTTGTCTCCTTCTCCTCTCTGGTCCTAATTTTCCACTCTCCTATCCGTTATTTCTGGAAACACTTTCACATGAATCCTTATTTCAGGGTTGCTTCTGGAGGACCTGACCTAAGATTGGCATCTTACTCAGTCCAGAAGGTCAGGGAAGACTTCTTGGAAGACATGCCATCTAAAACAATGACTGATGGAGGAATGGAATCATCCAAGTGTACGGGGAGTGGATGGAAGACAAGAGCATTCTAGGTAGGTGAACAGGACAATTCAAAGGCTCCTCCTGGAGAAGCCACAGTTGGATGCAGGTTATCTCTTTAGAATCCACCTTAATTTTCCATTTCAGCAAGTTTTATGGTGAGCTCACATTTTCTTTAACCTTTATGTCCGTGATATAAAATTCCTGTTTTCTTATAATCAGCATTTATCAGGAGTCTTTTTTTAAAAAACAGAAAACAAAACGTATTTTTTCCTCATTTACTAATAGATTCACTGCCTATAACAGTGTGAATAATGTGTTGGCCAAAGGAGAATGAGATAGCCCATTATACTTATTGATATAAATTATCCTTGATGAAGAAAGTCCATGTTCATCAATGCTGATATGACTGTGTCATCAATTTAATAGCTGAATGCTAAGGACCATTAAATTTATCACTATTTGCTATACCCTTATTTATAATAGTGCCCAAGAGTAATATGTAATTAACTTCATGACTGATTGACAAAGTAAACTACAGGGTAATCAATCATATTGTATAAATGCTTGTCATTGGGCCACATGTGGAATATGGAGGTTGACTTGTGATGTTTCAGCACTTCCCTGTCTTGATTGTTGCTCTTGGCTGTTTAGATCTAAAGTCCCTATAAGTGTTGGACTTACTTATTTAAATAAGCTGGTTGCTACACCTTGAGATTCAGTCCAATCTTGCTGTCTAGCATGATCCTTAACCGATGTCCTTTGTGTGGGCATATGGAGGACCTCTCCTTTCCTCTTGATCTAGAATGTCTTTTTTTTTTTTAGGTCTTCCCCATTCATAATTGTTTTCCTTTGCATACCAGCCCCTGCTTTCACTTAGACTTTCTTCTGACATTTGTATTTAAAACTAGCAATTTGCACTCTCCTGCAATAGTTTCCCCTTACTGAAGTCATTTTGTAACTCTTCCTCCTCTCTCAGCTTGCCAGAAATGAGAAATGCCTATAAACTTCACCATGAGCAAGGATAAGTGAGCCCAAGTCACGACAAATAAGCCCAAGTCACGGTAAATGAGCCCAAGTCAGGTTTTCTCTCCAAGTATGGACTGTTTTGCAAAGCTTACAGTAACCCAGAAGGGTCAGCTTCTTTGCCTGTGATAGCTATTTGTAACTTTAGAAACTCCAGGTTTTGTGTGACCAAAAGGAAGACTAAGATAACTGTCATAATTCATTCCAGGAATAAAAATGGGCTGGGTGCAGTGGCTCATGCCTATAATCTCAGCACTTTGGGAGGCCAAGGCAGGCAGATCACTTGAGGTCAGGAGTTCAAGACCAGCCTGGCCAACATGGTGAAACCCCATGTCTACTAGAAATATGAAAATTAGCCAGGCGTGGTGGCGGGCACCTGTAATCCCAGCTACTCAGGAGGCTGAGGCAGGAGAATCACTTGAATCCAGGAGGTGGAGGTTGCAGTGAGCTGAGATTGAGCCACTGCACTTCAGCCTTGGCAACAGAGTGGGACTGTGTGTCAAAAAAAAAATACTAGTGTTTCTTTTGTGTGAATATTGAAGCTACTATGCAATAATCTAACATGGTTGCACATGGCAATTGGGCCTCTGTGGTTAGGTAAGGTTTTCCCTGAAGTGAGGAGGCCTTAATTCACATATTTGTCATGGAAGAGGAGTCAGATCCATAGAGTGGTGAAAGAGAGAATCCTGTACCTCTCTCTTGGCATCTCTCTCTTAGATCTAGACTAGGATGGCAAATACCGGGCACAGGCATTATCATTCATCCCCCGATTACTCCCTCTTTATCCTCTTATCTTCATCCATGCAAGACATCACTAATCCATCATATAATTTCCTCACTGAGCTGAGATAAAACCTACGTTAGACTCCTCCTCAATCCAGCATAGCAGTTAGTTGTTGTCTATTGATCACAGCTGAAAAATAAAATTAAAACCTATTTCCTATTGTTGGTCTCCAGTCTGCTGAGTCAGGAGGCATGTATGTCTAGAACACACTGATGGTAGCATGTGTGCTAGGAGGAAAAGAACTACCTGAATGTCATTACCTTAGTCAATGCTGCAGAACTGCAAGCCCTGAAGAGGAAGTCGTATCTTGTAAACAAGATCATTCTAGTTTCATACAACTCCTAGATTTATTTTCTCTGTGTTATCTTCTGTCTTTCAGAGACATTTGGTTTGAATGATCTGGTCTTGTCACAGCTTGGCCACAGAGTACCCAGAGGAGTCCATGGTTGGGTCAGAGTTAAGTGGGAAGTTGAGTTACCTTGAAAACAGAGTACATCTGAGGCTGCTAATTAGTGAATAGTTTTAGCAATTCCAGGTTCTATAGTTGAGCTTCTTTTTCTTACCAGAGGTTCTTCCTCCTACTGACAACCTTAGTGAGCCTAAGTGAGATTACCATCTCATCTCTGTTTTTCACAAAACCATACATTTTTCATGGCAAGTCCTTCTAGTTTCTTGTGGCTTCACTAAAGCCCCAAGATCAGGTAGCAGGTACCAAAGTCTTCTGATGACTCAAGACCCCAACATCCTATGGATAAAATGGTGATGATTTTCTCAGCATGAGTTTCCAAGAGAGCCACAGGAATCTTGCCTTCTTTTCTTTCTGTCTTTACCTAGAAGTTTAGTTTTTATGATGCTCTCTGCAGCTTTGATCTATAAAGAGGGGAAAATTGGCAAATATGAGCCTTGCAAAACGTTGTTCATATTTGCAAATAACTACCTTGGCAGGCAGGTATGTGCTCTGTAAACCTAAGTATTGCTTTGGCATGTGAGTCAAAAGGGAATTTGTAAGCAACCTTTAGGCAGCTGGTCTTGGAGAATACAGCTTGGCCTGTAACCTAGTTCAGCTGAAAAATTTGGACACCTCATCACTGCTAAACAGACCATCACTCCCCTTTGTGTCTTTCTGGTCATGTACAGGTCATTTATTTGGCAGGTTCTGTCTAACTCCATTAATTGATGGCATCCAATTCATCCTTTGGCCCTGAGTCAGGATTCTACAAGATATTTTTTTAAGCCCAAACATCATTCCAACCAAAAAAAGGGGTACCAAAGAACAGTATTTAAGATGTATTTTTAAACTTAATTAAGAGTTTGGTGGATTGTCATTTGGCCCAGTGGCTGGCCTGGCACTTGTTTGGATTCCTCACCAGCCCCGCATAGAGAAACATGAATCCACCTTTAGGCAAATGAGTTGTCTTGAGGATTTTATTGGTTTGTAGCCCAAGTCAGTGGGTAAGGGGTGGATCAAAAGGCAGAGAAATAAAAGACAGTGAGACTTACTGTGAAGGTATAGAATCCATTCTGCACATGTCTATACTATTGTTTTGTGATCTCATTCATTAAACCCAACATGTCCCCAGCATGTGCTCAGTAGGCTGTTAGGAAACATACTATGTACAAATGAGTTTAAAATCATGGTCACTGCCCTCAAGAAACCTGTCAAACAGCAGAGAAGATAAATATATGCTGGAAGAAGGTGAAAACCAAAGTGAAATTATGTGATAACTTACTAGGAACTGCAGAGAAAGGTTTGAGTGAAAGCAAAGGAGAGGGGTGATTTGTTGTGCATCCTTATTGGACATGAGAACAGTGTCTGATACTCATGTGTCTCTTTAACTTGTGCCAGGAAAAAAAGTAGGTGTTTAATAAATGCTTAATGGATGTAATTGAGAGACAATATAGACCATTTCCTGTAGGGAGTCGTTTTTGAAGTAGGTCTGAAAGGAAATTTGGACTTGGGGTTGACAGAAGAAGTAGGAGAAAATTCTATGTAGGAAACTGAAGGAGATTAGACATGAGGTGGGGTCAGGGGCAGCCTGCTGAAGCAGAAGGGAAGGACAGAGAATGGTGAAAAAGAACCAATGTATATGGCATTCATCCTTAGGTAGGGCTTCCTCCCAGATTTGACCCTCACTCAGAACTAACTAGAGATACAATAGTTACCTTGTTCTTAATACTTGTTCTTAATGTCTTAATACCTTGTTCAAGATGTCTTAATATCTTGTTTTTAATACTCTTGTTCTTAGCCAAGTTATGGGTATACTGCATTGTTCTCAGGGAAAATAGAGTCTCCCTGGGGTCTTAGGAAGCTCACACAAGTATCCTAGATCACTATTCTTAAACTTTAGTATGCACATAAATCACCTGGGGGGCTTGTTAAAACACAGATTTCTGGACCCACCCACAAAGTTTGTGATTCAGTAAGTTTGGGGTAAGGCCTGAGGATCTGCATTTTGAACAATCTCAGATGACGATATGCTATTCCTAGGACCATGGTTTGAGAACCACTGTCTTAGATAAATATACAGTTTCCTTTCCCTCATATTTGCACTGTTTACCAAGACATGGAGAGAATCAAATACCGTAAGATTGCTGTGATGAGCAGAGCCTTTAACACTGTTGTAAATACAGTTTAGGTCTCCAGCTCATAGAAAAGCCCTGGTCTCATGGAATGTATCTAAAGCACTCAGTTCTGCAATAGATTATCACAGAAAATAATACCATAGCAATACCATTAGTTAAATAAAATGCAACCTTGAACGTGTGTACTTCATTCTAACAGATGATGCTTAGAAGTTATGCCACCACTACACTTTGATAAAGTAAATTGTATTTTAACACATTAGGAACCTCACTAATTGAAGAACCCTTAGTCAATGAATAATAGAGTGGTATAGAATGAATTGTAAAATAATAACATGGTACATAAAAGTGTTCTTAAAACCTTTGTTTATGTGCTTTTTGAGTTGGAATTTATTTTTATAGATCATAAGTTTTTTATAGGAAGAGAAGTTTGGTTTATATAGGCATCTCAGGCTCTATTATGACACTGACTTTGAACACTTTACTGGGCAGTCTAGGCTTTAGAACATCTGCATGCCCATAATCCCAGCTACTCAGGAGGCTGAGAGGCAGCAGAATTGCTTGAACCTTGGAGGTGGAGGTTGCGGTGAGCTGAGATGGCGCCACTGCACTCCAGCCTGGGCAACAAGAGCAAAACCCCATCTCTCTCTCTCACACACACACACACACACACACACACACACACACACGCACACACACACACACACACACAAAAGAACATTTGCTACTCCACCCCCGCCACAGCCCCCTTCTGAGGGTTTCTCTCCATATAACTTGCTATAATGGTATCTCATGCCCATGCTCCCCTGGCCACAGATGAAAGACGAGAAATGGGTACCTTGTTTAAGGACAACCAAGCTGTACATTGACCAGAGCCTATGAGGTGACTTGATGTAGAAGTTTTACTCATCATAAACAATGGAGACTAACTGAAACAATCAGAACTTGAGACAGAGAAAAAGAATAAAGCAGTTAGCTGTGGGAGTAGGAGCAAGAGAATAGTGAAAACAATGTGATAGCTGAGTTGCCATAATGGTATAGCATGAGAATAAATGCGAACCTCTGCTGCCTAGGAGGTTAACCAGATGACCCAGTTGTTAGGGCTGCTCTGAGTTCTGAAAGATTTTTCTGAGTCTTGAGCTATTTAATAAGGACTGTGAGCCCTGGCTGTTCAGCTCTTCCAGAAATCCTGGGAGTGTGGCCAGATTTCCTGTCTTTCCAATTTTTTCAGGTGAATTCTTGCAAAATCTTCCCAAACTAGAGGTAACCCAAATTCCTCTGGATAAAAATAGCCTAAGCAACATAAACTCCTATGAAAAGTTCCTAGTGACAGATTTGGCACACAGGTGATGCTTCTTGGTCCCATTACCCTCAAACCTTCATTTCAGGTCTCTGAGCTAAGGTTTTCTGTGTGCTGAATTGGTATAGTATTTCTCTCCTCCTCTTGTTGATCCCTCCCAACCAATGAATCAGTATGGTAAAATCTGTACAGCTTCGAATTAATCAGAACTGAAGGCACATAAAAATGCAAGGAATTAAAGAACAGACAGAACATAAAAGAAAAAGGTATAGAGTGAGAGTCAAAGAGATCAGCTCTCACCACAAAGGAAAGCTCAAAGCCTTTGATGAACTGCACCTATAAATAACTATGAGCTCTGGCAATCCCTGTAAGGCTTTGGCCAAATGGTTCAGGTCCATCGGGGATAATGAGGGCTAGGGACATGCTGCTAACAAGCACAGCTGTAACATAGGCTAGAGGACAATGTGCTTCTGATTGTCACTTGTATGATGTAGATTTATAGGACCTGAGCTCTGTTCTGATGAATGCCCCAAGGAAGCTGGTATTCTTTGATTCATTAAACGGGAACTTACCTTGCCTTTTCTCTATTTGGTCTTAGGAATCATATCTTAGGTTAAGTGGTAATTTGGAGATCATTCCACTCTTACCCTCTAATTTTAAGGATCAGAAAACTAAGGTTGTGGAAGGGGAGATTACTTAACCAACACCACACAATTTATTCATGGTAGTATTGCTTTTAAAGCCTTGCTCTACCTGCTCTTAGCTCAGATGCAGTAAAAAATTCATCTTACTGACTTATTCAGTCACTTATTTTGTGGGGCTGTTTCTAATAGCTCTAATGCTGTCACATCCCTTTCTTATTTGATCCCCCCAACAACCCAGGCAGATGGGTAGAGATCTTTTCATTTTACAGGTGAAGAAGCTAAAGATCGGAGGTGAGGCCTCTTTTTTGGAAACTCAGATACTCTGATTTCTAATACAGACGCCTTTTCAATAAATAATTTATTTGAAAACAATGTGTAGACTAAAATTTTCAATAGAAATGCTGATCTTTATCATAACCCTCACTTTCTTCCCATGCCACACTCCCTGTGCTATAGCAGAGGCCCATCCTTAAGGACAAAGTCTTTTTTGTATCTTCAGTTTTCTGCACAACATGTTGCTATTATAGGAATTCTCCTCAAATTAAGTCATAATTTCCACTGGGTTATATACGGGTTCCATTTGGAAGGTGGGAACTTTCTTTATTTCCAACAAACCATTTTCTCCATGGAGTGAAAGACTTTAATTCTGAGTCTTTGCTTGGTCACTGTGACCATTTTCTTCAGAGGGTTCTGTTTGACACCAATATTAACTCACCATCAGTCAAGTCATTCATTCATTCATTAATTTCTTCATTCATACATACTCCATTTCCAGAGCAGATGTGTGACAGATACTGTGCTAAATGCTGAAGACACACAGATAACAAGATGTGGTACCTGTTTTCCAGAAACTTACAATTTAGTGTGTATGGGGAGGTGAGCTCAGGGTATGGGAGACATCACTTTGGAACTGGGTATAAGATAACTACTGGAGATACAGGGAATGTCTCAAGAAATTCCTAGTGGGAGACTTTGGCTGACTACCCAAGGTGTGGGGGAGTGAATACTGGGGTAGTTTGGGAAGGCAGAGGCAGCTGTAAAAGCATAGAAAGGGATGCTTAACTCATTTTAAATGTATTTTTAATTGACAAATAATAATTGTGTACATTTAGGAGGTATATTGTGATAGTTTGATCTATGTATACATTGTAGAAAGACTCAATCAAGCTAAGCAACATATTCATCACCTCACCAACTTATGACTTTTTTGTGGGGAGAATATTACAAATCTATTCTTTTAGCAATTTTGAAGTATACAACACATTATTATTATTAACTGTGGACACAACTCATTTTCTTGCTTACTATCCTTTGGGCTACTGGAAATTGTATTAGTCCTTCAGTTTTCTACCTGTATGTTCCACAGTATCGGGGCTTTCTTGCAGCATTTCTAGGATATTTATGGAAAGAAAGTACAGTTTAAGGTAGAATGTGTTTTCTCTGCATTTGTTCTGATCTCCCAGAAACCTGTTCCATTACCACTCAAGATTAGGTGTTCAAGCCTGAAGTATTTGTTAGAGAAGGCATTTCACAATGCCTGGCATATCAATCAAAGCCATGTGTGTTCATACAGCATACACTGTTGAGGTGGGAGAAGCAGAGGTCCCCATTCCCAAGGAGAGAGACAGCATTGGCCCATGACTACCGGCTGACTGAACACCATAGAGTGGTTCATATTTAAAGGCTTGTGTGTAACCCAAGGTTTAAGGACAACCTGTATTCCTGGGGTGTTAGTCTAGGGATATTGTGGAAGGTTTTATGGAAAGCAATATGATGTGAGCTTTGAAGAACAGTGTGGCAGGTGAACAGGTAAAAAGCATTGTGGACAAACTTGTAAAGTTGTTGCCCATAGAGTAGGAGGAAAATGACCTGGTCAAGCAGAGAGCTTGCAAGGGAGCAATTGTTGGGGAAGGGGATATGATTGTAGGTAAAATAGGGAGGCAGATAAGGATATCTAGTTTGAAGACCTTAGGAAAGGAAAATCACAAAGGACTGGAAAAAGCCTAAATCCCCATGATGGTGTACAAGGTCTCACATGATTAAGCCCACCATTTTCTTGTGAATGAGAGGAAGCTGTGTAGCAGGGAGAGCTCTGAAAGCCTGTGTAATTACACGATGAAGCTGACAACTGGACAAATAGGGAAGGTCCTGGCACAGGACTTAGACAAGTGTTTCTGGTTGTCTTTCTGTGACATTTGCAGAGTCAGTCAGCATCCCTCAGCTGTAAAAACTATAATATGACAGGTATTATAATATAGGGAGAGACATGAAGGGCGGTAAGAGAAGATAATTCACAATTATTGAACTCTGGGCTTTGTGTGCGGTGAAATGCACACACGATTCCATTCAACTCTCCAACCAATGAACTCTTCATTTTACAGGATCAGAGTAGCTAAGTAACTTTTCCAAGTTCATTGGCTTGAAAAATGTTTGTTCAAACAAAGGTGTGCCTGATTTCTAAGCCCGTCCTATTTCATCATGTCAGTTTTGCCCATCCTAGCCTAATAATAAGAGTCACTTTGGCGTATTTATTACACACTTAGATTCCAAAGCCCTTGCCAAGACTTAGAATAAGAATTTTAAGTGAGGTGCCTAGGAATCTGCATGTTTAATATACACCCTAAATGGTTAATACGATCAAGTCATTTTGGGGAATCCCTGCAATGTGTCACACTGCCTTGAGAAAAGGCATAAGGTTAGAGAGGAAAGGGGAGGGATGGAAAGAGATTAAGGAGGTAGAATTGACAGGACTTGACTGATTGCAGGAGAAGTGAAGCCTTCAGTCTCTGATTAGCATTTCTGTCTGAAGTTTTGTAAGCGTAAACCCCTGCCTAGCAACAAAATCCTCCTCTAATTGGGCAAAAGTAGTGAGTGGCCATTCTGCCAGGCTCTCTCGGGTGTGAGCATCCCAGGAGAGTTTTAGCCAGGACACAGCAGCATGCTAGTGTGCTGCTCTGGTTGCATATGTTGGAGATGATTTTCATAACACTCATAGGTAAAAAGAAATGTAAAAGGTTTCTGGGAGAGAAGCCAACTATCATGTTCCTGTTTTCAGAACACAAAAATTGCTGTAATTGTTTGGTTAATTTAAAAAATAATGATGATGTATTGCAAGAAAATGATTTAAGGAGAGAGTTTCTTGGAGCAAGAAGTGATGTTAAGTGTTTAAAGGTTTTAAATTGACAAACTAGGCTACGGTAAATCCTTTTACTTTTGGAATAGTGAGCCATTTTCCTTGAGCTCTTTGGGTCCTGAGTTACTCACCATGTTCAGCATAGATAAATGCTTTTTGTCCTTCAGTGAAGACACGGCTGATGGTAGGCAGAATAATGGTTCCTCAAGTATGTCCATACCCTTATCCCTGGGACCTGTGGATATGTTACTTTAAATAGCAAAAAGAACTTAACAAATGTAATTAAGTATTTTGAGACAAGAATAGAAGCCCAGATTATCCAGGTGGGCCCAATATAATTACAAGAGTCCTTATAATAGAGGGCAGGTGAGTAAGAATCAAAGAAAGAGATGCAATAATGGAAGCAGAGGTCAGGGTGCTGTGATTGCTAGAAGGGGGTCACAGGCTAAGAAACGCAGGTAGCCTCTAGCAGCTGGAAAAGTAACAGCAAATGATTCTTTCCTAGAGTCTCCAGAGGAATGCAGCTCTGCTGACATCTGTTTTAGCCTAGAGAGACTAATTTTGGGTTTCTAATATCCAGAACTATAAGATAATACATTTTCATTGCTTTAAGCCACCAATTTTGTGGTAATTTTGTTACAGTAGCAATAGGAAACTCATAACACCATCATCAAGTGGTTTTTGTCTGTTATTTCCATGATGAGTAGGAAGGCTCTTGTATCCAAGAGGGATCCTTAGCAAAAACCAGCATGGAGGCAAAACTAAGACCCAAGTTCAAAGTTGATTGTTTTGACCTTGACTTAGCACGCATTTCTGGGTGAATAAGCCCTAATGTCTTCCTTTGACTCTGAGACCCATGGAGTTTCTGTTCCTTATAACTGCCAGTGACAATGTTCCACTTCACTGTGCCTTTCCTATGGTCATTTACTCTTTTTTTATTCTTTTTTAGACAGGTTCTCTTACTGTCATCCAGGCTGGAGTGCAGTGCCACAGTCATGGTTCACTGCAGCCTCAAACTCCTGGGCTCAAGTGATCCTCCTGCCTCAGCCTCTGGAGTAGCTAGGACCACAGATGTGCACCACCACACCTGGCTAATTAAAACTTTTTTTTGTAGAGACAGGACCTTGCTATATTGCCTAGGCTGGTCTTGAACTCCTGGCCTCAAGCAATCCTCCTGCCTAAGCCTCCCAGAGCACTGGGATTACAAGCATGAGCCACCATGCCCAGCCCTCTCTTACTTCTCTTAATGCTACCATGTCAGATATCCTCTAGGCCATTATCCCTCAGATACTGCAGGTTTTAGGGCCAGCTTTGGAGAATCTTCCCCATGAAACTTGTAGTCCATAAATCCTATTCTGAGGAAATTACAATAATGTTTCCTAAAAATTATGCCATTAAATGGAATGTAGGCCAGGCACGGTGGCTCACACCTGTAATCTCAGCACTTTAGGAGGCCAAGGTGGGCAGATTGCTTGAGCTCAGGAGTTTGAGACCAGCCTGAGCAATGTGGCAAAACCCCATCTGTACAAAAAATACAAAAAAAAAAATGAGCTGGGCATGGTGGTGAATGCCTGTAGTTCCAGCTACTCAGGAGGTTGAGGTGAAAGAATGGCTTGAGCCCCAGAGGTGGAGACTGCAGTTGCAGGGAGCCGAGATTGTGCCACTGCACTCCAGCCTGGGCAACAAAGCCAGACCCTGTCTCAAAAAAAAAAAAAAAAAAAAAGAAAAGAAAAAAAGAAAAGAAATGTTCTTAGCTGTCACATTCCAATGTGTCTTTCCCTAATTGTAATCAATCAGCTTCTTAAGCCCATGTCTCCTGAGTCTCTGTAACTCAGAGACGGTTTATTATTTGTAAGCATTGGCCTCATATAAGGATAGACCACTGGCTGTGGTCTCTTGTCTGGTTTCATCACTCTTGGGAACCTCCTTTTACCTCACTTATTTACTCCCAATTTTGATTTTAGGAAATGGAGTTAATCCCCTGCTGTAAACATGGTTTCATTTGCTATACTACACTAGGAAGAATGGCAACTTAAGTTTGCTCAGTTATCAATAAATTAGAATGTTGATTACTCACACATGATCTTAAGATTGTTATACTATGAAACATATTGTGAATCCTATCCTAAAGTGTCGCTCATTTAAAAGTCTTGAAGGCCATCTCCTAGACTTAATAAACATGAACAGATGTAGGTTGACAGTCAGTAGCTGAGAGAGACATACTGAAGCAGAGCAGGCATTCAATGTGAAACAGTCTAGGAGCTACAGATACATCCTGGAAAACTTGTTTAATATATGGGTGCCTAATTCTAGGAATATATATGCAACACCTGCTTATGGGAAAAAGTCTGTGTTGGCTTCTATGTATATGCACAGTGGGGAACAGTCCTATAATATAGGGAAGGGGGAAATAATTGACAGGAGAGGGTGGACACTTACAGCAGGTCAAAAATGGTTGTCCTCTGCACAGTGGCAAGAGGGAGATAGCTGCAAGGCCCATACTGAAATCAAAGAGATCTGCCTCCACAGGAGTTTGCCGCTGTCCGTGATTCTGAAAGTACTGCCCTAGAACACAGAAGTTTATCATAGCTTAAGTTGGGTTTCATCACTTTTTGTTGTTGCTGTTGTTGTTCTGTTGCTTGGTAGCCGCATCAATAGGTGTCTAGAAGAGACAGAAGCATGATGCAAATTTTCCTTAAATGGAGACCAAATGCTATAGTTCATAGAGGACGGTAAGTACAAGGACAGAGGAGGGGCCAGGTATTTAATTGGAGACTACAAAGAGTTAATATGATAATTCTGTCTGCGATGTCTATAAAGTCCCCATTTCTACCTTTTGCTACACCATCAATTCTATTTTTATATCATCTTTTTATGTCACTAAACTCTACTGTAGTGACATACTTAAACTGAAAAAAAAGAAACCCTGAACTTTTATTTTTATGCAACAAGACAGATGGAGTGTGCTGAAATGAAATCCTTCATTGGGTGATGATTTTTGTTCAGGTTATGAAAACTTGTGATGGCTCCTGTGAGTAAACAATTTTAAATGTTCTATCTCCCCTCCCTCCTCAAAAATAAAAAAATCTTGATGTGCAATTCTGAGCTACCCAGGTCTCCTCTTGCTGGGCTAGGAGCTGTCAGCAGTCACAAGAGAGTTTCTCAAATCACTCCTCTCAAGAACTGTCATTCTTGACTAGACTTCACCTCCTTACTCCTGGCAGGTGCTTCTTTATTTCTACTTGCAGTCCTCCCTCCTGAAATTGATTTATGCCTTAACAAAAAGCTAGTTCAAGCTTCTGTGTCAAGGCTGTTGTTATTCAAATCCTGGTGTGGAGCAGTGTGATCTGTGGATCAGCAGCATAGCGGTCACAACTGTGTTAAAATGCATATTCCCAAGTTGCATCCCAGACTTATTGAACCAAAATCTGCATTTAAACAAAATCCCCAGGTGGTTTTATGCATATTAAAGTTTAAGAAGCACTGATTTAGGTGATAGCTAAACCAGTTCAGTTGGCTGAACTAGGAAGACCTGTTTCCAATGTTCTAAATCTGCTTGTTGGGCCTATTTATTCATTCAATCGGTAATGGGTATCTATGCTGTATGAGGCATTACCCGATGTGGGTAAAACATAAAGAGAGTATAGCTCCTTTTCTCCTTATTTGTCACGGCAGTTGTTTACCACCTTGACCTGCTCTTTGGCTCTGGAAGGGCTGACCCTTCTCACCATCCTCCTTAGTTTTGGGTGCCTGGCCTTGCTTTACTCACTGCTATTGGTGTCTTTCTGAGTTTTGTCTGCGAATTTGGATTTTGTTTCCTTTTGTTCTGCCATGACTCCACCTGGGTTTTCTGAGTCTGACTTGGCCATCTTTCTGACCATTGCTTATCTCACGCACCAAGTTTGCTGAGGCTGCTCAGACCCTGGCTCTCTTCCTTGTGACTGTGTCCCATTGCTACATATGGCCTTAGAACATAGCTTTCTCATTTTAACCATAAGATACATATTTTCCTAACTGCTGATATCTGGGTCTGGGTTTCTAGGAATTGTGGCTTTCACCAGAAATTGCCAGGGTCATACCTTGGGGAGAAGTAACTTGTCCTTGCACCAGAAAACACAGGACTTTATTTTCTTACCATGAAAAGTATACCCTTTTCCCCAGAGCCTTTTTTTGTCCCTTCCTCAATTTAACCATTTTTTTTTTACATAGCAGAATAATGAACCATAATAACAAATGGCTATATTTTCTAGAAAGCCTATTAACTTTCCATATTCTTTTCATTCTCTTTTATCACTAATGGAACTTACTATACATTGAGTTTCAACCCCAAGTCCAAGTAGATTCAACTAATTTGAGAGACCTAGAACCTATAAATCTTAACATGGAGTAATTTTTCAGGAGGCAAACATTGCCTGTGCTTTCTAGTTTCTTCAGCGGAATAACGTTTCTCCTAAGACTGGTTCTATTTAAAACGTGCTCTTTCCCTACACTCACATAGCACTTTACCAGGTGACTATTATCTGATTGGGTGCTACAAAAACTGTGAGGTCTCATGGGATGTATCATTGTTGCCTTGACCCCAGAACTGCACTTCTCATGCACAGAAGCTCATAGAGATATTTTCAAAATGGTGTTTTTAGCTTCTGGTCCTTACCCTATGCAAACAGAGCTCTAGTCCAGTTCATAAACAGGCCATGGCAGGTGCTATTCCATCCATCTAGGTTTGCCATCTCTTTCCTGCCAGAACTCTGACTGATACCTCCATTATTAAGCCTTTCTCTCTCTTTGCACCTTGCCAGGGTCTCATATATAACTTATCCAACTCCTCCTTTTCTTATCTAAACAAAAGTTAACAGTACAATTAACCACACTCCTCCCCTCAAACATCTATGGGGTCAAGGAACTATTATTTAAAGAAACATCCAAACTCTATTGCCCAATTAGTCCTTTCATCCCTTCTCCATTCTCTCTAAACAAACATTTATTAGGCCTCTATTATGTATCATAAATTATATTACCATATTTTATTGGCTTGAAGTCATTATTGATTGAAGGAAGCACCATTATTTCAGGTCCTACTATAAAGTTAAAAGCATCCAAAATTAGGAATTTAACAGGAGACTTCTACCTAATTCTGAGACATTATAGATTTACCCTTTGAGGGTAAGAGTAAATGAGAAAAAAAGCTCACTATGCAGAACGGGACAGTAAGAAAATGTACATATATCAACTTTGGTATTGGCTAGAGACAGGAAAAAAAATCTCTTCCAAAAATTTGAACCAAAGCTGGTACAGTAGTGCCCATTTA
Organism: Homo sapiens; assembly: GCF_000001405.40. NCBI lineage: Eukaryota > Metazoa > Chordata > Mammalia > Primates > Hominidae > Homo > Homo sapiens. The sequence continues at coordinate 131,625,625 of NC_000003.12, forward strand.
TCCATGGAGGATATGTTCTAAGACTTCCAGTGAATGCCTGAAGTCGTGGATAGAACTAAATCCTATATATTCTATGATTTTCTTTATATATATCTATAAAGGTTAATTTATAAATTAGGCACAGTAAGAGATTGCCAAAAACAATCAATGCAGGCACACTTTGTTTTATTTTGCTTCTCAGATATTACATTTCTTACAAGTTGAAAGTTTGCAGCAACCCTGTTTTGAGTAAGTCTATCAGTGTCATTTTTCCAACAGGATGTGCTGCTTCATGTCTCTGCATCACGTTTTGGTGATTATTGCAATATTTCAAACTTTCTCTTTATTATTGTACCTATTATGGTGATCTGTGATCAGTGATCCAAATGTTACTATTGTAATTGTTTTGAGGTGCCACAAACTGTGTCCCTATAAGACAGTGAACTTAAACAATTAATGTGTGGGTTCTGACTTCTCCACCAACTGGCTATTCTCCCATCTCTCTCCCTCTCCTTGGGCCTTCCTGTTTCCTTAGATACAACAATATTGAAATTAGGCCAATATTGTTAATAACCCTAAAGTGGCCTCTAAATGTTCAAGAAAGGAAGAGTCACATGTCTCTCACTTTAAATCAAAAGCTATTAAGCTTGGTGGGGAAGGCAAGTCAAAAGCCTAAAGAGGCCAATAGCTAGGCCTATTGCAACAAACGCTTAGTCAAGTTGTTAATACAATAAACAAATTCTTGAAGAAAATTAAAAGTACTACTCTAGTGAACATATCAATGGTAAGAAAGCAAATGAGACTTTTTGCTGATAGGGAGAAAGTTTTAGTGGTTCGGATAAAAAATCAAACCAGTCACAACATTCCATTAAGCTAAAGCCCAATCCAGAGTAAGTCCTTAATTCTCTTCATTTCTCTGAAGGCTGAGAGAGGTGAGGAAGCTGCATAAGAAAAGTTTGAAGCTAGCAGAATTTGGTTCATGAGGTTTAAGGAAAGAAGCTGTCTCCATACCAGAAAAGTATAAAGTGAAGCAGCAAGTGCTGATGGAGAAGCTAAAGCATGTAACCCAGAAGATCCAGCTATGATCATTGATGAAGATGGCTAGGCTAAACAACAAATTTTCAATATAGACAAAACAGTCTTATATTAAAAGTAAATGCCATCTAGGACTTTCTTAGCTAGAGAGGAGAAGTCAATGCCCGGCTTCAGATCTTTGAAAGACAGGCTGACTCACCTGGTGACTCTAAGTTGAAGTCCATGCTCACTGGCCACGCTGAAAATCTTAGGTTCCTTAAAAGTTATGCTAAATTGCTGGGCACGGTGGCTCACGCCTGTAATGCCAGCACTTTGGGAGACTGAGGTGGGTGGATCACGAGGTCAGGAGTTCGAGACCAGCCTGACCAACATGGTGAAACCCTGTCTCTACTAAAAACACAAAAATTAGCCAGGTGCGGTGGTGGGCGCCTGTAATCCCAGCTACTCAGGAGACTGAGGCAGGAGAACTGCTTGAACCCGGGAGGCAGAGGTTGCAGTGAGCTGAGATTGTGCCACTGCACTCCAGCCTGGGTAGACAGAGTGAGACTCCATCTCAAAAAAAAAAAAAAAAAGAAAAAAAGAAAAGAAAAAGAATTATGCTAAATCTACTCTACCTGTGTGCTATAAATGGAAGAATAAAGCCTGAATGGCATCACAATCATATCTGTTTATAGCGTGGCTTTCTGAAAGTTTAGAGTCCACTGTGAGACCCATTGCTCAGAAGTAGAGTCCTTTCATAATATTACTGCTCATTGAAAACACACCTAGTCACCCAAAAGCTCTGATGAAGATGTACAAGGAGATTCATTGTTGTTTTTGTGTCTGCTAACACAACATCCATTCTGCAGCCCATGGATCAAGGTGTAATTTTGACTTTCCAGTCTTCTTATTTAAGGAATACATTTTGTAAGGCATACCTGCTATAGATAGTGCTCTGATGGATCTGGGCAAAGTAAATTGAAAATAGTTTGGAAAGGATTCATGACTCTAGATGCCTTAAGAACATTCATGATTCATGGGAGGAGGTCAAACTACAAGCATGAATAGGAGTTTGGAAGTTGATTTTAATGCTCAGGGATGACTTTGAGGAATTCAAGACTTCAGTGGAGGAAGAAGCTGCAGATGTGGTAGAAATAGCAAGAGAACTAGAATTAGAAGTAGAACCTGAAGATGTGATTGAATTGCTGCAATTTCATAATAAAACTAATGGATGAGGAGTTGTTTCTTATGAATATCAAAGAAAATAGTTTCTTGAGATGAAATCTACTCCTAGTGAAGATTCCATAAACATTGTTGAAATGACAACAAGGAATTTAGATTATTATATAAAATTAGTTGATAAAGCAGTGACAGGGTTTGAGAGGATTAACTCCAATTTTGAAAGAAATTCAACCATGGGTAAAATGCTGTCAAACAGCATCACATGGTACAAATGAATCTTTCATGAAATAAAGAGTCAACGGGGCAAACGTAATCGTTATCTTATTTTAAGAAATTGCCACAGCCACCCCAATCTTAAGTGATCACCACCCTGATCAGTCAGCAGCCATCAACATTGAGGCAACATCCCAACACCCTCTGTATTAGTCCATATTCACACTGCTGATGAAGGCATACCCAAGACTGGGAAGAAAAAGAGGTTCAGTTGGACTTACAGTTCCACATGGCTGGGGAGGCCTCAGAATCATGGTGGGAGGTGAAAGGCACTTCTTACATGGTGGCAACAGAAGAAAATGAGAGGGAAGCAAAAGCAGAAACCGCTGATAAGCCCATCAGACCTCATGAGACTTATTCACTTTTTTTCTATTGATTGGAATAGTTTCAGAAGGAATGGTACCAGCTCCTCCTTGTACCTCTGGTAGAATTTGGCTCTGAATCTGTCTGGTCCTGGACTTTTTTTGGTTGGTAGGCTATTAATTATTGCCTCAATTTCAGAGCCTGTTATTGGTCTATTCAGGGATTCAACTTCTTCCTGGTTTAGTCTTGGGAGGGTGTATGTGTCCAGGAATTTATCCATTTCTTCTAGATTTTCTAGTTTATTTGCATAGAGGTGTTTATAGTATTCTCTGATGGTAGTTTGTATTTCTGTGGGATCAGTGGTGATATCCCCTTTATCATTTTTTATTGCATCTATTTGATTCTTCTCTCTTTTCTTCTTTATTAGTCTTGCTAGTGGTCTATCAATTTTGTTGATCTTTTCAAAAAAAACCAGCTCCTGGATTCATTGATTTTTTGAAGGGTTTTTTGTGTCTCTATCTCCTTCAGTTCTGCTCTGATCTTAGTTATTTCTTGCCTTCTGCTAGCTTTTGGATGTGTTTGCTCTTGCTTCTCTAGTTCTTTTAATTGCGATGTTAGGGTGTCAATTTTAGATCTTTCCTGCTTTCTCTTGTGGGCATGTAGTGCTATAAATTTCCCTCTACACACTGCTTTAAATGTGTCCCAGAGATTCTGGTATGTTGTGTCTTTGCTCTCATTGGTTTCAAAGAACATCTTTATTTCTGCCTTCATTGAGACTTATTCACTATCACGAGAATAGCACGGGAAAGACTGGCCCCCATGATTCAATCATTTCCCCTTGGGTCCCTCCCACAACACGTAGGAATTCTGGGAGATACAATTCAAGTTTAGATTTGGGAGGGGACGCAGCCAAACCATATCACCCTCCACCAGCAAAAAGATTATGACTCACTGAAGGCTCAGATGATTATTGGCATTTTTTAGCAAGAATATTTTTAAATTAAGGTATGTTCATCTTTTTTTTTCAGACATAATGCTATTGCACACTTAATAAAGAACAGGATACTGTAAACATAACTTTTTTTTGACACAGAGTCTCACTCTGTTGCCTAGGTTGGAGTGCGGTGGGTGTGATCTTGGCTCACTGCACCCTCCGCTTCCCAGGTTCAAGCAATTCTCATACTTCAGTCTCTCAAGTAGCTGGGATTACAGGCATGCACCACCACGCTTGGCTAATTTTTGTATTTTTAGTAGAGATGGGGTTTTACCATGTTGGCCAGGCTGGTCTCGAACTCCTGGCCTCAAGTCATCTGACTGCTTTGGCATCTCAAAGTGCTAGGATTACAGGTGGGAGCCACTGTGCCTGGTCAATAGTGTAAATATAACTTTTATTTGCACTGGAAAATCCCCAAATCTGTGTGACTCTCCTTATTGTGATATTCACTTTATTGCAGTAGTTTGGAACCAAACCCACAACATCTCTGAAGTATGCCTGTAATAGGCATTTGTGAATGTGGTCTCTCTCTCGTTCTCTCTCTCTCTCTCCCCCTCTTTCCTTCTCTTTCTCCCTCTCCCTTACTCTCAAAATATCTTATTGTACTGTACTCATCCTTCTTCTTGTGATGATATGAGATGATAAAATTGCTATATGATGAGAAGAAGTGAGGTGAATGATGTAGGCATTGTGATTTAATGAAAAATGCCAGAAAAAAGCAGTTTGTAAGTTTTAAATTGCATGTGTTCTGAGTAGCATGATGAAATCTCACGCTGTCCTGCAACACAGGATACGAATCATTCCCTTTGTCCATCTATTCTACCTGCCGGCTAGTCCCTTAGTGGCCATCTTGATGATCAGATCTACTGTCACAGTATCACACTGTTTTTGTACAAGTAACTTATTTTACTTAATCATAGCCCCAAAGGGCATGAGTAGTAATGTAACATTTTCAGACTGTGGCTGACCAATGGCAACTGGTACTCTGGAAAGAGAAACCACAGATAAAGGGGAACTACTGTACTCAGGGCCTCAGTCTGAACTCACTACTGGTGCAGTGAAAAAACCTCAAACAGAAAATTTAATTTAAAGGAGTCTCAAGTTAGTCATTTCTCAAGTGAGTGGAAGAAACAAAGTTAAATCCTTCCTTTAAGAATTTGACTTGCACCTATGATGTCCATTAGGCCCACCACTAGACATATGTGGCTATTTAAATTTTAAACAATGAAAATAAAATAAAATTAAAAATTGACCTCTTTAGTTGCACCAGCCATATTTCAAGTCCTCAGGAGACATATGTGGCTAGGGGTGACCATATTGAATGGAACAGATATAGAATATTTCCATCACACAAAGTGTTCTTCTGGACAGACTGACCAATAGCAATAGATTATAAGATGAAACCTGATTTCCAAGACATAAGAAGAATATGAATAAAATGTGTGTCTTAGACTCAATGAAATATAGTAGATGTAGAGATAGGGAGATAAAAACCTCTCTTTGGGGGCTCAGCAGATAGGAGAATCAGGCTGCTGATTAGGACAACATCAGGGTACCCTGAAGTTCTAAATCATGGAGAATTCCTCTCCAGCCACCTCAGCTTCGAGAGAAGTCTGAAGCCACTTGGACTGTGAGCTCACTGTGTGTGACTAACTGGGGAATTAGCATGAAATCTCATTACTTGGATGACCTCCCAGGCCTTTACTTCTGTGGAAATTACAATTGCATGCAGAATGACATATTTTCAGATATCTTTTTTCTCAGAATATGGCTACCCTTGACCTTTTAAAATTAAATCCATTTTTTATAAAGTCACCATAAAATCATTAGAGTTAATATAATCATTTTCTGAATCCCAAGAGAAGACAAAACCAGTTGAAATTCCAGAGTAAAACATTTTAAAGAGAAATTTTCTATGTCTTTAGCTTTCCCCAATCCAATCCCCATCCTTTGACATGTCTCTCCGGGGATTTTTGGTTTTGATTGAAAGTTTTGTATATAGTAGTTTTATGTGGGAAAGGTACAGGGAACTTCAGTAGGCCTAGAAAATGGAGCTACTGGTTTGGGTTTGCACAGTTTCAAACCGAAAAAAGACTTAATAAACAATTCAATTCAACAATGAAATATTTAATTTAATGAGAAATTACTTTGTGACTCTGTATTTTTAAATTGCTACCTGTTTTTCTCCCAGTTCAATGTATTACCTTATACGGAAAACCGGAAATTATTAACATTTTTCTTTTTCTTCAGTTAATAATAAGGGATCATTGAAATATGGTCCCCATCACAAAGTGTATTTTAATGAGAGAATTGCCTCTTATAATACTAAATAGTATTTAGTATTGATAAAACATTGAAGTAGTAGTTTTTGTGTGGGGGAAATGTAGGAGGGGTTGCAGGAGGAGAGAAACTGGAGATGAATGGGAGAGTTGTGGAAGGAGATTTTAGATTTTTTGAGGGCCTACTATGTGCCAGTTCTGTGATAGGTGCTTTACACGTAATTATCCCCCCTCCCCAACACTTTTTTCTTTTTTCTTTTTTTTTGAGACAGAGTCTCACTCTGTCGCCCAGGCTGGAGTGCCATGGCACCCTGTAGTCCCAGCTTCTCGGGAGGCTGAGGCACAAGAGGGAGGCTGAGGCACGAGAATCGCTTGAGCCCAAGAGGCAGAGGTTTCAGTGAGCCAAGATTGCACCACTGCGCACGATCTTGGCTCACTGCAGCCTCCGCCTCCTGGGCGCAAGTGATTCTCCTGCCTCAGCCTCCCGAGTAGCTGGGATTACAGGCGTGCACCACCATGCCTGGCTAATTTTTGTATTTTCAGTAGAGTCGGGGTTTCACCATGTTGGCCAGGCTGGTCTCGAACTCGTGACCTCAGGTGATTCACCCACCTTGGCCTCCTAAAGTGCTGGGATTACAGGCATGAGCCACTGTGCTCCGCCTCATTATTCCCATTATCTCATGCAACCCTATGAAGTAGATTATTACCTTCAGCTTATGAGGGAGGAAACTAAAACTCAGAGAGGCTAAGTACCTTGCCCTAAGTCACTCAGTCAGTAAGTAACAGCGTCAGACTTTTGCCAACACCACTCTGTTGAAATTACTCTTGTTAATATGGGGTCTTTTCAATTACCCCACAATGGTAAATTCAAAGAGCAATTTTCAGTCCTCATCTTTGTTGATCTATCAACAGCATTGACAAGGCTGATGAATTCCTCCTCCTTAATATACTATAAATACTTGCCTTTCAGGACATAAGACTATCCTGTTTTTTCCCCCAGTATTACTAGACACACACCTTAGAATTATCTGATAGATACTTCTCATCTCTTTGAACTCCTACTAAGCCATGCCCCAAAGCTGAGTCCTTGAGCACCTTTTCTTCTCTTATGCTCAGGCCTTAGGTCAGGTTTTCTCAGTCTTGGTACTGTTAACATTTCGGTCCTATAATTCTTTGTGGTAAGGGACTATCCTGAACATTACAAGGTGTTTAGAAGCATCACTGATGTCTACCCACTAGATGCCCATAGCACTTGCCCCAAGCACCCCAGTGGAGAACCACTGACCTAGATGATCCCGTATCTCTCCAGTCCAGACCTTTCCCCTGAACTGCTGTCTACTCTAACTCTCCATTTCTGGTGCCTAACATTTGGGTCTTCTACCCCAAACTTGATCCACCTGCAGTCCTCCCCATCTCAGCTAATAGTATCTCTACCTTCCAGTTGCTCAGGCTAAGATTTCTCTCTCCTGCACTCCACATCAAATCTTTCAGGAAATCTTGTTGGTTTTACTTTCAAAATATATCCAGAATCTAATTCCATCTCAACATTTTCACCACTACCTCCCTAGTCCATTCTACCATCATTTCTTGCCTGAATTATTGCAATTAGCTTTCTATCTGGTCTCTTTGCTTCCATCATTACCTCTCTAAAATTTCATTCACCTCCTTACCCCACCCCCATCCCTACCACATTATAGGTACCCATTGTAAGGTAGAAGTACCTATTCTTCTCAAACACACAGAAATCTTTATAAAAGTTGACCTCTGGTTAGGACTAGACTAAAGAGCCGGTCTCAAAAGTCAAAGAAGCATATGAGGCAGACCATGTTCTGTGACTATTACTACTAAATAAAAACATTGATTTTTTAAAAACAACTGAATCTCTAACTAAAAATTTTTTGAAAGTCTGCTGTCTAAGTAACTCATAAGTGAAGACATAATTAATAATAATGGAAACAAAAATTACTTGGAACTAAGTGACAATAAAGATAAGTATTAGAATTTGTGTGATATGGCTAAAAGTGAGCCATCAATGAAAATTTAAAGCCTGAAACATTTGTACTCGTTATGAAGAAAGGCTAAAAATTGATAAGCCAAATGTTCAATGTAACTTTTTTATTTTTAAAAAAAAGAACAGAATAAACCCAAAGAAAGGAGAAAGAAAGAAAAAAATTGGCAGATGATTTTGGTTCACTCCCCTTTCCCTTCTTTATTTAGAATCATTGTTTTATAATATTATTTGTAAAGGCTGAAGAGGATTACATTATTTAAATTGTTCTACTATTGTTGTTACTACTCACCTATGTTGGCCATTTCATTTATAAATATGAACATATATAATTATTTCCATAGAACAAATTTTTAAGAATAGAATTGTGGAGCTAAAAAAATGCACATGCTTAAGGCATTTGATATATTTGGGGATTGGGATGGTTAGCCATATTGATCTCAATTAATTTTGGAGATTATACTGCAACCCTTGGTACATTTAATAAAAATATACTCTTATTCTTTATCTTACTGTTTGTGTGATATAAAAATGTATCTTCACTCCCAACATGCATACTTATCCTTCAGGTATTGGAAACACATTTAATAGTCATATAAACTGCATATGCTGAGCATCCATTCACTGACTTAATAAGTTTATAATACATAAATGCCAAGATTGGCAAATATTTTGCCAAAGCTTTATCCATAGGAAATCTAGATTAGAAATAATACTTCACTTTGAATAATTTCTTCAGGTGTAGCTGTCAGAATCAATGAAGAAAGTAAGTAATCAAACTCATTTATCAACACAATCCAATTCTGCAGAACATCAGCCAGCAAAATAATTCTAGAGACAATTAAACCTAGGTCTCCAGTTTAGAGGCCAGTAATATCCAGTAACTTCATAGTCTGTTCTTATTTGCTTACCTCCATTCTTGAAATGAATACTTTAGATTGGGTAAATATAATTACTTCCACCTTGAACCTAACCAGACCTTCAATATTCTCATTCTTGAGTCTGACAATATCTCATAACTGGAAAGGAGATGAGAGGATAAGAAGGTAAAAATTGAAGCAATGTTCTTTCAGAATTCATGTGAGAAACTGTAAAGCTTAAAAAATTTTTAGTTATGTTTTAAAAGAGACTATCCTAGGTCTTATGTCACTACTTCATAAGCTGAAATCATCCTAAGTGGAAAATGGGGGGATTCAGTGTCTTTCCTTTTGGTCGAGGAAATTACCAAACACTTAAAAACATCTGAAAAAATAAATTAATAACACATCAAATGGTACTCAGATGCAGTCACATATGATCTTTTAAAGTTCAAATTATTTCATTTATAGCTTATCCCTTTGAAAAACTTGATTATGACAGGTCTTTGATCGGTGACTTATGGCTCAATCATAAGGATGAAAAATAAATTTTGATTTTTGGAATGCTTTTCCATGATTTCTGTAGAAGAGCATTTGTATTTTCCACGATTTTTCTCAAATTTGGGTTCAGTAACCTCTTCCCACTTAAAATAGATTTCTAAGAGCTGCAGTTGTAAAAAGTCTCGGAAAACCTGCGGGTCATAGAATGACTTAACACCCATCATAAACAGAAGGCTCCTAACTTTGTCACACTATTCTAATAAATGATTTAGACATAATCACTTTTGGAGTGGTCCTAAAAGTGCCCTACTAATGTTTAAAAAGACTATTCTAGGTTTATCAATTTCTAAGTTTTCTAAATACTATTCAAAAGTATACAATTACCTTTCTACTTAATCAACATTGTGTAAGATATTAGATCAATATATCTATTCCTATGCTGTCTAATAGGGTAGCCACTAGCCACATGCAGCTCTTTAAATGTAAATTCATTAAAATTAAATAAAATTAAAAACTCAATTCCTCTGCTTCCACTAGCCATATTTCAAGTACTCAATAGCAACACATGTCTTGTGATAGCCCTATTGGACTGTGCCAATATTAAACATTCTGTTGAATGCAGAATAGGACATCACGAAAATTCTGCTACACAGTATTATCTGAGACACATCAATCTAATATCCTGCATACAGACCAAACAGGGGAGAGGGATGAAGATGGCAGACAGGAGGCAAGACTAGCTTGCAGCTCCTGCTTGCATAGACAGTGCAGTGTATGGAGACTTATACCGTGAACTTTTGCTCCAAGAACTACTGCAGGCACTTTGGGAGGCCGAGGCGGGCGGATCACGAGGTCAGGAGATCGAGACCATCCCGGCTAAAACGGTGAAACCCCGTCTCTACTAAAAATACAAAAAATTAGCCGGGCGTAGTGGCGGGCGCCTGTAGTCCCAGCTACTTGGGAGGCTGAGGCAGGAGAATGGCGTGAACCCGGGAGGCGGAGCTTGCAGTGAGCCGAGATCCCGCCACTGCACTCCAGCCTGGGCGACAGAGCGAGACTCCGTCTCAAAAAAAAAAAAAAAGAACTACTGCAGGAACATACCAGTAAAGCCAAGAGAATCCACAGACCCTTTGAAGGAACTGGATCACTGCTGCAGGCTCCCTGAGATGCCAAAAAACTGTGACTCTGCTTGCTTATTGGCAGGGAGGCTTGTGGTCTGGGGCAAGTTCTTAGCCCTGGTCACTGACTGCCTGAAAATAGACTTGGTGCTGTTGAGCGGGGTTGCTTGGTAAGTGTGAGACCGGCCTTTAGGATTGCAGGCTCCATGGAAGCAGGGTGAAGCCTGTGACTGCTGTCTTTCCTCTATTTCTCTGGTGACCTGTTTGACTCAGCAGAGGCAGCCATAATCCCCCTAGGAATATAACTCCAATGGACTGGGAACCACACCCCCATCACCCACAGCAGCTGCAGCAAGCCCTGCCCAAAGAGAGGCTGAGCTCAGACACTACTATCCCTGCCCCCACCTAGTGGTCTTTCTCTACCTTCTGTGGTAGCTGAAGACAAAGGTCATAGTCTCTTGGAAGCTCTGTGGCCCTGCACACCACCTGAGAAACTTTAATACTTGACCAGGTGTCCCTAGGGCAAGTTTGCATCCTCCCTATAGGACCGCAGCTGATGCACTCTTGAAAGCGCAACCTCCTGGCTGGAGGCCAATCAACACAAAACCAGTGCACTAAACAAAAACACAACTAAGGACCCTGATAGAGTCCACTTCTCTCCCCTGCTACCTCCACCAGAGCAGGTGCTAGTATCCATGGCTGCAAGACCTGAAGATGAATCACATCACAGGGCTCTTTGCAGACAGTTCCCAGTACCAGTAAAGAGCCCAGTAGCTCTGCTGGGTGGCTAGACCCAGAAAAGCATAAACAATCACTACAGTTCAGCTCTCAGGAAGCTCCATTCCTAGGGGAAAAGGGAGAACAGCACATCAAGGGAGCACCCAGTGGGACAAAAGAATCTGAACAGCAGCCCTTGAATCCCAGATCTTTCCTCTGACATAGTCTACCCAAATGAGAAGGAACCAGAAAAACAATTCTGGTAATATGACAAAACAAGGTTATTTAACACCCCCAAAAGATCATACTAGTTTAGCAGCAACAGATCCAAACCAAGGCAAAATCTCTGAATTGCCAGATAAAGAATTCAGAAGGTTGATTATCAAGCTAATCAAGGAGGCACCAGAGAAAGGTAAAGTCGAACTTAAAGAAATAAAAAACATGATACAGGATATGAAAGGAAAATTCTTCAGTGAAATAGATAGCATAAATAGAAAACAACCACAACTTCTGGAAATCAATGAAATACTTAGAGTAATGCAAAATGCACTGGTAAGTCTCAGCAATAGAATCAAATGAGCAGAAGGAAGAATTTCAGAGCTCAAACACAAGACTTTCAAATTAACCCAATCCAACAAAGACAAAGAAAAAAAATTTTGTTAATGAACAAAGCCTCCAATAAGTTTGGGACTATGTTAAATGTCCAAACCTAAGAATAATTGGTGTTCCCAAGGAAGAAGAGAAATCTAAAAGTTTGGAAAACATATCTGAGGGAATAATTGAGAAAAATTTTCCCAGCTTTGCTAGAGATCTATACATCCAAATACAAGAAACTCAACACCTGGGAAATTCATCACAAAAAGATCATCACCTAGGCACAGTCATCCAGTTATCTAAAGTCAAGATGAAGGAAAGAATATTAAGAACTGTGAGGCAAAAGCATCAGGTAACCTATAAAGGAAAGCCTATCAGATTAAGAGCAGATTTCCCAGCAGAAGCCCTACAAGCTAGAAGGGATTGGGGTCCTATTCTTAGCCTCCTTAAAGAAAAAAATTATCAGCCAAAATTTTGTATCCAATGAAATTAAGCTTAATAAATGAAGGAAAGATACAGCCTTTTCCAGACAAACAAATGCTGAGCTAATTTGCCACTACCAAGTCAGCACTACAAAAACTACAAAGGGAGTTCTAAATCTTGAAACAAATCTTTGAAATACACCAAAATAGAAGCTCCTTAAAGCATATTTCTCACAGGACCTATATAGCAATAACACAATGAAAAAAAAACCACAAGGTATTCAGGCCACAAATAGCATGATGAATAGAATAGTACCTCACATCTCAATACTAATATTGAATATAAATGGCCTAAATGTTCCACTTAAAAGATACAGAATGCCGGAATGGATAAGAATTCACCAACCAAGTTTCTGCTGTCTTCAGGAGACTCACCTAACACAGAAGGACTCACATAAACTTAAGGTAAAGGGGTGGAAAAAGATATTCCTTGCAAATGGACACCAAAAGTGAGCAGGAATAGCTAAACTTGAAAGCAGCAGCAGTTAAAAAAGACAAAGAGGTGATAGTATAATGATAAAAGGACTAGTCCAACAGGCAAATATCACAATCCCAAATATATATGCACCTAACACTGGAGCTCCCAAAGTTACAAAACAATTACTCATACTAGACCTAAGAAATGAGACAGATGGCAACATATAGTGGGGGACTTTAATACTGCACTGACAGTGCTAGATAGGTCATCAAGACAGAAAGTCAACAAAGAAACAATGGACTTAACTATACCCTAAAACAAGTGTACTTAACAGATATTTACAGAACACTCTACCCAACAACTGCAGAATATACATTCTATTTATCAGCACATGGAACATTCTCCAAGATAGACCATATGATAGGCCCCAAAACAAGTCTCAGTAAATTTAAGAAAATCAAAATTATATCAAGTACTCTCTCAGACCACAATGGAATAAAATTGGAACTCAACTCCAAAAGGAACCCTCAAAACGATGCAAATATGTGGAAATTAAATAGCCTGTTTCCAAATGATCAACAATGAAATCAATATGGAAATTAAAAAATTCCTTGAACTGAACAATAATAGTGACACAACCTATCAAAACCTCTGGGATAGAGCAAAAGCAGTGCTAAGAGGAAAGTTCATAGCATTAAATGCCACATCAAAAAGTCTGAAAGAGCACAAATAGACAAGCTAAGGTCACATCACATGGAACTGGAGAAACAAGAACAATCGAAATCCAAACCCAGCAGAAGATAATAAATAAGGAAGATCAGAGCACAACTAAATAAAACTAAAACAAACAAAAAATACAAAAGATAAATGAAACAAAAAGTTGGTTCTTTGAAAAGATAAATAAAACTGATGGACCATTAGCGAGATTAACCAAGAAAAGAAGAAAAAAGATCCAAATAAGCTCAATTAGAAAAAAATTGGTAGATGTTACAACTGATACCACAGAAATACAAAACTATTCAAGGCTACTATGAACATCTTTACATGCATAAATTAGTAAAACTAGAGGAGATGGATAAATTCCTGGAAATATACAACCCTCCTAGATTAAACCCGGATGACATAGAATCTCTGAACAGATCCATAGCAAGCAGTGAGATTGAAATGGTAATAAAAAATTGTCAACAAAGAAGTCCAGGACCAGATGGATTTGGACCTGAATTCTATCAGACATCCAAAGAAGAACTGGTACCAATTCTATTGACGTTATTACAAAAGACAGAGAAAGAAGGAATCCTTCCTAAATCATTCTATGACGCCAGCATCGCCCTAATACCAAAACCAGGGAGGGATACAACAAAAAAGGGAAACTACAGACCAATATCCCTGATGAACATAGATGCAAAAATCTTCAACAAAATACTAGTGAACCAAATCCAATAGCATATCAAAAAAAGATAATTCACCATTATCAAGTGGGTTTCATACCAGGGATATGAGATGGTTTAACATACATAAGTCAATAAATGTGATACACCACATGAATAGAATTAAAAACAAAAATTACATGATTATCTCAATAGATGCATAAAAAGCATTTGACAAAATCCAGTATCCCTTTATGATTAAAACCCTTGGCAAAAGCAGCATAGAAGGGACACATCTTAAGGTAATAAAAGCCATCTATGACAAATCCACAGCCAACATTATACTGAATGGGGAAAAGTTGAAAGCATTCCCCCTGGGAACTGGAACAAGACAAGGATGTCCACTTTCACCACTTTTATTCAACAAAGTACTGGAAGTCTTAGCCAGAGCAACCAGACAAGAGAAAGAAATAAAGGGCATCCAAATCAGTAAAGAGGAAGTCAAACTGTCACTGTTTGCAGATGATATGATTGTATACCTAGGAAACCCTATAGATGCATCCAAAAAGCTCCCAGAACTGGTAAATGAATTTGGCAAAGTTTCAGGACACAAAATTAATGGATACAAATCAGTAGCTCTGCTATACACCAGCAGTGACCAAGCTGAGAATCAAATAAAGAACTCAACCCCTTTCACAATAACTGAAAAAATAAAATAAAATAAATTACTTAGGAATATACCTAACCAAGGATGTGAAAGACTTCTGCAAGGGAAACTACAAAACACTGCTGAAATAAACCATAGATGACACAAACAAATGGAAACACATCCAATGCTCATGGAAGGGTAGAATCAATATTGTGAAAATGACCATACTGCCAAAAGCGATCCACAAATTCAATGCAATTCCCATCAAAATACAACCACCATTCTTCATAGAACTAGAAAAAACAATCCTAAAATTCATATAGAACCAAAAAGGAGCCTGCATAGCCAAAACAAGGCTAAGCAAAAAGAACAAATCTGGAGGCATCATATTACCCAAGTTCAAAGTATACTATAAGGCCATAGTCACCAAAAAAGCATGGTACTAGTATAAAAATAGGCACATAGACACATGGAATAGAATAGAGAACCCAGAAATAAAGCCAAATATTTACAGCCAACTGACCTTTGACAAAGCAAACAAAAACATAAAGCAGGGAAAGGACACTTTATTCAACAAATGGTGCTGGGATAATTGGCAAGCCACATGCAGAAGAATGAAATTGGATCCTCGTCTCTCACCTTATACAAAAATCAACTCAAGATGGATCAGAGACTTAAAACTAAGACCTGAATCCATGAGGACTGTAGAAGATAACATTGGGAAAACCCTTCTAGACATTGGCTTATGCAAAGACTTCATGACCAAGAACCCAAGAGCAAATGCAGCAAAAATAAAGATAAATGGATGGGACTTAATTAAACCAAAAAGCTTCTGCACAGTAAAAGAAATAACCAGCAGAGTTACAAGCAACCCACAGTGGGAGAAAAATCTTCACAATCTATACATCTGACAAAGGACTAATATCCAAAATCTACAAAGTACTCAAACAAATCAGCAAGAAAAAAAAAATCCCATCAAAAAGTAGGCTAAGGACAGGAATAGACAATTCTCAAAAGAAGATATACAAATGGGTCCCAAGCATATGGAAAAATGCTCAACATCACTAAGTATCAGGGAAATGCAAATCAAAACAATGCAATGCAATACCGCCTCACATCTGCAAAAATGGCCATGATAAAAAAATAAAAATTGATTGATTTTGGTGTGGATGCAATGAAAAGGGAACACTTTTACACTGATAGTGGGAATGTAAACTAGTACAATCACTCTGGAAAACGGTGTGGAGATTCCTTAAAGAACTAAAAGTATCCTTTTGATCTAGCAATTCTACTACTAGGTATTTACCTAGAGGAAAAGAAGTCATTATACAAAAAAGATACCTGTACATGCATGTTTGTAGCAGCACAATTCGCAATTGCAAAAATATGGAACCAGCCCCAATACCCATCAATCAACCAGTGGATAAATTGTGGTATTTATATATACCATGGAATACTACTTAGCCATAACAAGGAACAAAACATTGGCATTCGCAGCAACCTGGATGGAATTGGAGGCTATCATTCGAAGTGAAGTAATTCAGGAATGGAAAACCAAACATCCTATGTTCTCATTCATATGTGGGAGCTAAACTATGAGGGCGCTAAGGCATAAGAATAATACATTGGACTTTGGGGACTTGGGGGAAAGGGTGAGGGGTGGCGAGGAATAAAAGACTACACATTGGATACAGTGTATGCTGCTCGAGTGATGGTTGATGCACCAAAATCTCAGAAATCACCACTAAAGAATTTATTCATGTAACCAAATGCCAGCTGTTCCCCCAAAATTTATTGAAATAAAAAATAAAAAAATTTAAAAAGACTAAATAGTGTTCAGAATATTCAAATATCTCCAGAGACCAGGAAGGTAATATACATGTGCAAAACAGCATGGTGTAAGACTATAGAGAAATTTGATGTCAGCTGAATTGGACAGTAAAGAGTAAATGTTCCATCAAGAGGAATACCTGCCTGCCTCTGGCAGCATCTCCCCTAAACTTTGTGCTCTTTTTTTCAGCCAGGCCCTGCAGAGCCCTAAGAACACTTCTGCTAATTTAAGTAAAACCTTGGACCTTGAAAAGTTATTATCTTACCTTGTCTTCCAGGTAAAATAATAGACTTAAAATTAAAGTCTACTTGTGAAATCCTAACACAATTTTATGCATTAATGGCTGATATGGTTTGGCAGTTTCCCCACTCAAATGTTATCTTGAATTGTAGTTCCCATAATCCCCACATGTCATGGGAAGGACCCAGTGGGAGGTAATTGAATCGTGGGGGCAGTTACCCCCATGCTGCTGTTCTCATAATAGTGAGAAAATTCTTATGATATCCGATGGTTTTATAAGGGGCTTTTCCCCCTTTGCTTGGCACTTCCCTTTGCCGCCATGTGAGGAAGGACATGCTTGCTTCCCTTTCTGTCATAATTGTAAGTTTCCTGAGGCCTCCCCAGCCCTGCAGAACTGTGAGTCAATTAAACATCTTTCCTTTATAAATAACCCTGTCTAGGTTATTTCTTCATAGCATCATAGAATGGACTAATATAGTAAATTGGTACTACAGAGAGTGGGGTTCTGCTATAAAGATACCCCAAAATGTGGAAGCAGCTTTGGAACTGGGTAAAACGGGCAGAGATTGGAACAGTTTGGAGGGCTCAGAAGAAGACAGGAAGATGTGAGAAAGTTTGAAACTTCCTAGAGACTTGTTGAATGGCTTTGACCAAAATGGTGATAGGGATATGGACAATTAATTCCAGGCTGAGGTGGTCTCTGACGGAGATGAGGAACTTGTTGGGAACTGGAATAAAGGTGATTTCTGCTATGCTTTAGCGAAGAGTTTGGTGGCATTTTGCCCTTGCCATAGAGATCTGTGGAACTTCAAACTTGAGAGAGATAATTTAGGGTATCTGGTGGAAGGTATCTGGATGTGAGTCATGGAGTCAAAGGGGATCATTTTGGAACTTTAAGGTTTAATGACTGCCCTTTTGGATTTTGGACTTGCATGGGGCTGGTAGCCCCTTTGTTTTAGCCAATTTATCCCATTTGGATTGGGTGTATTTACCCAATGCCTGTACCCTCATTGCATCTAGGAAGTAACTAACTTGCTTTTGATTTCATAGGCTCATAGGCAAAAGGGATCAGATGAGACTTTGGACTTGGATTTTTGGGTTGATGCTGCAATGAGCTAAGATGTTGGGGGACTGGTGGAAAGGCATAATTGTGTTTTGAAATGTGAGGACATGAGATTTGGAAGGGGCCAGTGGTGGAATGATATAGTTTGGCTGTGTTGCCACTCAAATCTCATTTTGAATTGTAGTTTCCATAATCCCCATGTGTCATGGGAGGGACCTGGTGGGAGATAATTGAATCATGGGGACTGTTACCTCCATGCTGCTGTTCTCATGATAATGAGTGAGTTCTCATGAGATCTGATGGTTTTATAAGGGGCTTTTCTCCCTTTGCTTGGCACTTCTCCTTGCTGCCGCCATGTGAAGAAGGACTTATTTGCCTCTCCTTCCGCCACAATTGTAAGTTTTCTGAGGCCTCCCCAGCCCTGCAGAACAGTGACTCAATTAAACCTCTTTCCATATAAATCACCCAGTCTTGGTATTTCTTCATAGCAGCGCGAGAGTGGACTAATACAGTGCCCATTTAATAGCCTTTTGTAATTAAGGTACACACTTTTGGCATAGTCTGTACCATTGGTTCTCAAGCTTTAGCATGCATCACCCAGAGGGCTTGAATTTCTGCTTTAGTAGGTCTTAGGTGGAGCTTGACTGAGAATTTACATTTCTTTTTTTTTTTGAGATGGAGTCTCGCTCTGTCACCCAGGCTGGAGTGCAGTGGCATGATCTCGGCTCACTGCAAGATCTGTCTCCCGGGTTCAAGCCATTCTCCTGCCTCAACCTCCCGAGTAGCTGGGACTACAGGTGCCCGCCACCATGCCTGACTAGTTTTTTGTATTTTTATTGGAGACAGGGTTTCACCATGTTAACCAGGATGGTCTTGATCACCTGACCTCATGATCTGCCTGCCTTGTCCTCCCAAAGTGCTGGGATTATAGGTGTGAGCCACCAGGCATGGCTGAGAATTTACATTTCTAACAAGTTCCCATGTGATGCTGACACTGCTGGTTAGGGGGATTACCTTTTGAAAAATACTACTTTATGTTTTTGCCAACAGTTATTTTCAGCTTAGTCCATTTTCCATGTCCAGATTTTAGATATGAATCACATTTATTCTTATACAAGAAGGGGCCATACATACAAGAAGTGAAAAGATCACAGAATTAGGAATGAGAAGATCTTGCCTCTTACCCTAAGCAACTGATTGATTCTGTGACCTCAAGCAAGTCAGTGTCATCCTCTGGGACTTACAGGAATGGAAAAGGTCTAAGAATGCTCTGGACTCTAGATAAAATTAGCAGGTACATAAGAGGAGCATAATCAAGGAAGGTGAAGGAAAGCTGGGCACAATCTAAAGTCCAAATGGCTTTCCAGTAGTGGTCAGAAGCAGAGAAACAGCAAGCAATTATTCCAACTGTAGATAATTTAATTGCAGGTCAATAAAATTTTCAGATAAGGAAGAGGAGACCAAGAGTAATGTCACACAAGCAAAAAGCTTCTGATGAACTGGAACTAGGAATTTACTGCCAACAGAGATGCTGGAGGTTCCAAACCATTGTTGCCTAGAAGTGAAAAACCGGAAAAACTTGGAAGACTGAAATGGTTCTGCAAACTGAAAGGATACAAGATGTCTTGAATTACATTGCTGTTATTGCCACTATCCATCTGTGATGTCCAGACTAACATCGTACCTACCTTGAAATGGGACTCATCCTTTAGAACAAAGAGCTGGAGTTAGTTATATATTTTTGAAGACCTCATTATAACTAGTTACAGATAATATCTCTGCATCTTTTATGTTTGGCCATTTTTTTTTCTTGGAAACACTGACTCTCTGCAGGAGGGGCTGGTGCCTCAGAGAACACAAGTATGTTTCATTTCATCTGATGTCTCACCAACAAAACATCTTAATTATCTATCATAACATCTAATACAGGTCACTTTGGCCATGCATTTTGACTATTTATTATATGCTAAGTGTGTTGTTTTCATTTCCTCCTTTAATTCTTACAACTCTATGGGACAGGTACTATTTTATGCCCATTTTATTAATGATGGAGGTCCAGAGAAGTAAAGTATTTTAACTATAACCATATAAATTTTAAAAGATCCAAAGTTTCAAATACAGAGTTTTGATAAAGTAAGCAATTCATTGATTTTTTTATTCTTTGAAGTCTCAAGAGCCTTTGTGGCAAATATCTGACTGCCCTGATTATGTGGCCCTGACTCCCAATAATGCATTTCTAAAATAACAGGTCCCTTAAAGGGATCCAAAGTCCTTTTTAGACTTTCTCACTTCCTGAAAAAAGGTAACTGAGAAGTGGCTAGGGGCAGGCATTACCATCTTTGTAGGTAATGTAGTTTAAGCACAGGAAGGTTATTTGTCTAAAGTCACAAAGAGGAGTTTCAGAATTGTGAGTGGAGCCCTCACCTTGACCTTGGAGAAAGGCTCAGGAGGCTCAAGAAACTATGCATGAAAGGCTTTGCTTTTCAACTGTTGCATAGTATCCAATTTCTAATGCAGGGGTTACTTTGTTCAGAAAGTGCTTAGAATCTTACTCTGTGATTCACTAAGGACACAAACTGCTGAAAAAAAGTGACAAACTATACACAAACAGAAGGAAAATAATAGAAAATCTGTCATTTCATACTGGTCTAGGATACTGAAGAGTTCTAGTTACATTTCTTTTAAAACATACAATGTACCAAGAATTATGAGTTAGGCCAAAGGATTCTTTTCCCCTTCCAGAGCAACATATTTTTTTCTTCCTCTTCTGTAAAATGAATCAATATACAAATATAATTTCCTGTTTTCATAACTTTCATTGAAATGACCTACTCTGTGAAACAAAGGAAATCCTTTCCCCTACATATAGGGAAAATACTCACATACATATAGCAGAAAACTATATAGTTTTCTCACCACAGTGAGGAAAAGCTCACTATATATAGCAGAAAAACACAAGGTTGAATTCTGTCCTCTGGAAACCTCCTCAAAAAACCTCCCCCATGTTTCTAAGGTCCAACACATGTTGCAGGGCTAAATTCAGAAAGAGAGAGTCCTGCTGAGGACAGTCACAGCAGACATTCTAAAATAAAGAGTGTAATTGGATTGTTTGTAACTCAAAGGGTAAATGTTTGAGGGGATGGATACCCCATTCTTCAAGATGTGCTTATATTACATTGCATGCCTGCAACAAAATATCTCATGAACCCCATAAATATTTACACCTACTATATAGCCACAAAAAATTAAAAATAAAAAACAATGCTAGGAATCAAATGAGCTGGTTGAAGAAAAAGAGATACATAAGCATGTCAGGATGAGGACAAGCTCTGAAAAGTTCTAGGCATCCAGTGAGTACAGTTAGGTACCATCTCTGGGCTCTGTTGCTGCTAGGGAATATCTTTGTTACCTTGGAAATCACTGTGGATCATGCAGAGCATTTACTCACAGATGGTACCATTCTGCCATCTGAATCACCAGCCTCTAGTCTTGGGGAGCAGAGCAGAGATAGGGGAAGAGGGGCATTCTACTGTGCCTGCAGCTGTCTTATAGTTACTGTGCAGATTCAGAGGTAACTCTGAGGGGTAAAATAGCTCCTATCCACTGTCAAGATACTGCTTTGGCCAGGCAGAAGGTTCTATATTGCAAATCAGAGCTGAAGTGAAAGACGGAGCCTGAGAAATGCTAGTAAGCAAGCAGCCAACTGAAGCTTCCTGATTGTCATCTTTTAAGCCTTTCCTTTTAGAATACATAAGATATATCTCAATACCTGGAGACGCTGTGAGCCATCCCAGTAAATCTTACTGCCAAGGGTTACTGTAGAAACTGCCTTTGTTGATTTCTACAGACAGGACCAAGTTACCAGGAGAACCCCAAGAACTGTGTACCAGCTAGTGGAGAAGAGCATTGGCAAAGGAATGTAGGACGTGGAAGGAAGAGAAGCCTGGTTATCAGATTCCACCTTTTGCCTGCCCTCCACCGTCTCTAATCTTGCCATGTCCTTTCTTTACCTTTGCCCCATCTAATTGTCCAGGGAACAGATTTTTGGATCTAAGAATAGGGGCACATTGTCAGATTCATATGAAGATCCTAGAGGAGGTTTGATTTTTAGCAAAAAGCATGGACTTTGGAGTTAGTTGGCCTAGGTTTGAATCTTGGTCCTGATCTTTCTAGTTACTTGATCTTGAGGCTCTCTGAGTAAAATGGTGATAACAAACCTACCCTGCATGGCTGATGGGAAAAAATTACTCAAAATAGAAACTGGAGAGGAATTTTGATTCTCTACTTTCCCTTTTACCCTTTCCCACCTGGTCTCTGGGCAATAACATTTCCTACCAAATTTATTGCTTAAATAAGTCTCCAAATGACTCCTTTGCTCTTTTATCCTCAATGTGACTGCATTTCAGGCCTCTTCATCTCTTGTCTGAACCACAGTAGCACTCTGTTTTTCTTCTCTTCTTCAAGTCCATAGAACCAGATTAACTATCAGAAATGCAGCTCTGACAATATCATTTTTCTCCCCCATCCCAGGATAGGTGCTCTAAGGATTTTTCATTCCCTATCATTTCTTCACTTAAAATTTAAAATAAGTCTGTGTGGCTGGGCATAGTGGTTTATGCCTGGAATCACAGCATTTTCAGAGGCAGAGGAGGAAAAACTGCTTGAGCACAGAGTTCAAGGCCAGCCTGAGAAACATAGTGAAATCCTAACTCTACAAAAAACACAAAAATTAGCCAGGTGTGATGGCATGCATCTGTAGTCCCAGCTACTTGGGAGGCTGAAGGTGGGAGGACTGCTTGAGCCCAGGAAGCCAAGGCTGCAGTGAGCTGTGGTTGTGCCACAGCACTTCAGCCTGGGCAACAGAGCAAGACCCTGTCTCAAAATTAAATACATAAATAAATAATAAAAACCTATCTGCTTATTCATGGACATCAGCCTTCCCCATTACACTTTGAATGTCCTGATGATAGAGATATTCATCTCCATATCCTAAGAACCTAGCATGGTGCTTCATAGACAGTAGGTCTTGAAAGAAGATTTATATATGACTGAAAGAATGACTACATATTTAATGTAATTAAGACAGATGGTACTTAAAAGATATTCAGCAATTACTTATAATTGTTAAAGAATAAATAGTTTAAATATTTGAAATTGACATGGTTCTGAAAATTCCAGCTCTGCTTCTTGATTATAAATTTTTTCATGTGGCTATCTTGGAATACAGTAGACAATCTAAGATTTGTAGAATGAATGAGTGAATAAGTGAATGAACCAACGCTATGAAATAAGGGCAGGTACTATTATCTCCATTTGATTACTAAAGAAAATGAGGCCCAGGGAGGGTGCTACTAAGCTCTGGACCATGCCCACAGAAGCCCAATTCCTGTAAGTAGGTGGAAGAAAAGTCCTGCCTGTCTTCCTGTCATTCCAGTTCAGCAAAAGTCTTTCTTATTAGAGGAAAATGGCCTCCAGCAAGGCAAGCATGGAAACCAAGCATTTTCCTCCTTAACTCTATGTCCCTGGGTTTGGTTAGTAATGAGTTTGCAAGACCTGAGACCTGGAAACACATGAACAACAGGTACTCAAATAGCTGTGCCCAGGTGAAAAATTTATTTGTGAAAAGCAGCAGCTTTTGGTACTTTGTTCCACAGTAGAATGAAAGGAAAGTCATATCAAATTGCTTCTCAGAATGACAAGCTCCATTAATATTGAAGCAGTCAACTGTTAGAACTTTATAGTCAGGTAACTTTACAGTCCTGATAGATGGTTCTCACACAGATTCTTCTCGTGTGTAAGTAACAATGGAACACAGAACCCACTGTTGTCACTGAAGAGCTACAGGTCCTACAATGCATCAGTGCTGAAGTAGAAGAATTCAGGACAGTAAATTAGCAGAAACCCAGGAGAAAAAGCTAGTTCCTATTACGAGAGGCACCAGCAGGGGAGGGCGGCCATGTGGAAATAGTTTTATGTTGTGGCACACTATAGGGCCAGTTGGATGCAACAATCACAACAATAACAACAAAAGGAAGCTAGAAGAACTGGCTTTATTCTTTCTAATCTCCAGGCTGACGTTCAAGTCTCTTGCCTTTCACTTCTAACTGTGAGAGCTGGGGCAAGTCACTTAAGCCTGCTGAGTCTGTCACTTCACTCCCAAAGTGGTTACAGAAATATCAATTCTTATAGGGTTTGGAGGAAGATGAAACGAGATCTTGTGGGCAAAGGGCTAAAAGAGTGCATAAGGTATGCAAAACCTAAGGGGTACAAAAGACCCTCTATTGGTC
The DNA here is from genome assembly GCF_000001405.40 of Homo sapiens. Classification (NCBI taxonomy): domain Eukaryota; kingdom Metazoa; phylum Chordata; class Mammalia; order Primates; family Hominidae; genus Homo; species Homo sapiens. Next base: position 131,649,781 of record NC_000003.12, read on the forward strand.
TATTAGTTTTATATTGCTGTGTAATAATTTACCACACAATAATGGCCTAAAAGAAGGCCCATTTGTTATCTCACACTTTCTGTGTGTCAGGAGTTCAATTACACCGTGGCTGCGTTGTGTGCTTAGTATCTCACAAGGCTGAAATCTAGGTGTCAGGTAGGCTGCATTTTCATCTGAATGCTTGACTAGGGAAGGATCTGATTTCAAGCTCCCTCAGGTTATTGGCAGAATTTGTGGCTGTACTATTCACGGTGGCTTGTTTCTTAGAAGACAGACGCTGAGAGACAGAGTCTCTGTTGCTTGGAGTTTCTGACTTCAGGGAAAGCCTAGGCCATCTTTTAAAGGGCATATCTGATTAGGTAAGGCCCACTAGTATAACTGCCCTTTAATTAGATATAATTCAAGTGATTAGGGATATTAATTACATCTTCACCTCTTCCATACAACCATATATGACATAAAAAATAATCACAAGAAAGATATCCCATCACCTTTGCCATATCTATTGCTTAGAGAGTTACAGATCCTGCCCACGCTCAAGGAGAGGGAATTACACAAAAACATGACTACTAGAGGGTGAGAGTTATAGGGGCCACCCTAGGGTGTGACCATCATAATTTAGGTGAAGGAAGAAACTATAAGCACTTTCATCTGTATTATTTTTTAACCATAGCCTTTAAAAATTCTATTATTGCGGCCGGGCGCGGTGGCTCACGCTTGTAATCCCAGCACTCTGGGAGGCCGAGGCGGGTGGATCACAAGGTCGGGAGATCGAGACCACGGTGAAACCCCGTCTCTACTAAAAATACAAAAAATTAGCCGGGCGTGGTGGTGGGCGCCTGTAGTCCCGGCTACTCGGGAGGCTGAGGCAGGAGAATGGCGTGAACCCGGGAGGCGGAGCTTGCAGTGAGCCGAGATCGCGCCACTGCACTCCAGCCTGGGGGACAGAGCAAGACTCCGTCTCAAAAAAAAAAAAAAAAAAAAAAAAAAAAATTCTATTATTGCATAAAATTTAAAACATACATACTATATTAGTATAATAGTAAATGCTTGCAATTAGTAAAATGTGCCTACATTGAAGGGTGCTTTTATTGATAGAAATGCATAGTAAAAAATGGTAAACCATTTCAAACCACATCTCTTTTTCCCACTTTCTCTTCCCACCTTTGCTAGTTATCCATGATATCCTGTGTCAGTTACTTAATCTATGTCTCACTTTCTTCATCTGTAAAATTAGAATATTAATTCCTGTGCTATTTCCTAGGTGAGGCTCTGAAGAGAAAATGTTGAGGAAAGCATTAGAAAATAGATACAGTTTATAAAATGTAGGCAGAAAGGCAAAAGAGAGTTTTTATTACTTCTGACTTCAGACTCAGAAAAGCAAGAAAGAATCCTTCAAAGGGCCTTCCCCTTTCTTCCCATACATAATTTCTCCCACATATATGCAGGGTCCTCCTGAGATATTTTAAACACTATGGGGCTCTCTGAGCTTTTATTAAAAGCTTAGAAAAACCCTCGAGACCTCTTTTTCCCAACTGTCCACACCTAAGGGCACTTCACCTGAAATGTGTTGGGTGATATTAAATCTCAGGAAAGTCGTTGGTATTTCTTCTCTTCCTTTTTCCTTTCATTACTGAAGATGATAGATAAACACATCTACTATTTTGTTTTTCTCCTGCCTTAGAAGATCAATTGAACCTGTTTCCTCATTTAGCCTACATATCAGAATGGTAGTTTTGAGGAAGTTAGTGTGGCCTGACAGAAGAAACACAAGGCTTTAGGAAGTCTTAGGAGAAAGGACTTTAGAGTTAAACAGACCTGGGCTTCAGGTTCTTCCCTCAAGAGGTCTGCAAATATTCAGGAACTTACTCAGCTCTCTGATTTTCAGTTTCCTTCTTTGTTAACCTTGCAATTTTGTTGTATGGACAGAGGGGATGGAATGTGGGGTAGTACCTGGCACAGTTCCTGGCACACAGTAGGTACACAATACTGTCTTAATGCTCTTTTCCCTTCTGTAAGTCCAGATCCAAGTTTTAGTCTGGCTTCTAATGAGCTGTGTGGTCCCGGGGAAGTAATTTTTCCTCTCTGGTTCTCAGTTTTTTTCACTGGGATGATAAAGTTGTTGGAATACCTTGAGGTCTCTATCACATGATTCTAAGGAGTCCTGGGCTTCAAATCCCAACACCGGTGTACCCAGTTCTACAGGATCCAGAACTTACATAGGCTTCTCCCATGCTCTCTTCGTTACTCAGATTGAGGATTGCTGTTATCATTTTTAGCTTACTTGTTTTAATAAATGGCTGATGAAATCATTGCCGATATGCTTTCCAAAGAAATTAGGTGCGGCTGCTAAGTCTCAAATACATACTTGATTACTGTGTAGTGTAGGTTGTCTTTGCAGAATGAACAACAGAGCAAGGTAGTATATGATAAACTCATTTTAGAAAGCTAATAAAAACGTAGAAGGACAGCAGCCTTCTCTATCAGTTTAGTTCATATCACCAAGTGACTTTCCTATTGCCAGGTTACTTTAAGCCTAAGTAGACACTGGAATTTAGGAGATTGTCACCAGGTACTAACCAAATTGATCTGTAGTCTATTTCTTAATGTTGTCTAATATCACTATACAAAAGTAGAATACACTTGCCCATACCGGGAAACCTCTCTAGGACTTTTAAAAATAATTATTTCCATTTTGAATTTTTAAACAGGAACTAGAAAGTTCTCAGCAAATATAACAAATTGGCATGCTTATTAAAAATGTGTGTGTGAATTTTAAACTATATATTATTAAGTTAGAAAATTAAAAGCCAATTTAAAAAAAATAAATAGCTTTATGATTTAACCACTGAGAAGAATATACTGTTATTAGATTGGTGTTTTTCCTTCTAGTCATACACACACATGAGCACTTACATGCATGTACACACGCACACTTGCCATATATTTACTGACAACTCATATTTATGTCCCTGCTGAGTTCTCTTCTCTGAGAATCAAACTTATGTAGGCAACTGCCATGTTGTCCAACTGTCCTGGTTCACCCAGGACTAAGTGGTTTCCTGAGATGTGGGACTTCCAGTGCTAAATTTGATACAATCCTGGGCCAACTGCCCACTGTATAGTCTGTAGATGCCTTCAACTCAGCAAATACAAAACTGAATTCATCTTTCTCATCCCAAACCTTTTGCTCCTTCAGTGGTCTGATTTTAAGGTATGGTACCATTTTTCATCCACGTGACCAATAGAAGAATCAGGGTTAAGTCTTTCCTCTTCCTCTCTTTATATCCAAAGGTGATCTGGTACCAAGTTCTGGTCATCCCTGTTTAAAAATTAACTCACATGGATTACTGATAGGACTTCTTTTTTTTTTTTTTTTTTTTTTTGAGACGGAGTCTCGCTCTGTCCAGGCTGGAGTGCAGTGGTGCGATCTCGGCTCACTGCAAGCTCCGCCTCCCGGTTCACTCTGTTCTCCTGCCTCAGCCTCCTGAGTAGCTGGGACTAGAGGTTCTTGCCACCACGCCTGGCTAATTTTTTTGTATTTTTTTTAGTACAGATGGGGTTTCACCATGATAGCCAGGATGGTCTCGATCTGCTGACCTCGTGATCTGCCCGCCTCGGCCTCCCAAAGTGCTGGGATTACAGGCGTGAGCCACCGCGCCTGGCCACTGATACGACTTTTAACCAGACCTCCTGCCTCCAGCCTTGCCCTCATGCAATTCAAATTCTACAAAATAGGCAGAGTCCTAATCCCAGAAATCCAAATATGACCACATCACTCCTCTGCATAGAGGCCCTCAGTGCCTCCCATTGCTCTCAGGATAGAAATTAAGACTCCTTAACATGATCCAAATGTTCTGTTTACCTCACTAACCTTGTCATATTTTTTCCTGCCCTAGGTCTCCTCCCCAACACGTTAAAATGCTGCAGCATTCAGCCTATTAATCACAAACTTCCAGGTCTTTGCACATGCGTTCAAGTTCTTGGCTTAGACACTTGAAGTAGGAAGCCTACTCTGAAGCCTGTAAATATTTCATGGCCTTTCTATTATGTTTATGCAACTTACACGTCAGCAGAATTTTGTGACTGAAAAAGTCTTAAGAAACACTGAGAGATCTTGTTTCAGACTAGGGGCTGTCTCCTTAATACCTTAAAGAAAAATCTAACAAGGGATTTAATGTTCTCAGTCTATTAAGTTAAGCGGTGGTTCTTTACTTTGACTGCACATTATAATCACCTTGGCTGCTTTTTAAAATTTCTGATGTTTTGGCCTTTATACTCAGAAATTCTATTTAACTGGTCTGAGGTGGGGTCTAGGTACCAGTGGTTTTTAAAGCTCCTCAGGTGATTCTAATATGAATCCAAGGTTGAGATCCACTGCCTTAGTTTTGCCACTGTGGTCCCACCTGGTATTTATACATTTATTTTTTTCCCTACCTAAGATTAGCTATGGGCTTCCTCATCTATTGTTTTTTTTAATCTTTTATTTTAGGTTGAGGGGTATGGGTGTGTTGTTATATAGGCAAACTTGTGTCATGGGGATTTTTGTACAGATTGTTTTGTCACCCAGGTACTAAGCCTAGTACCAAATTTTTTTTTAATTTTTTTCTGCTCCTGTACCCTCTACCCTCAGGTAGGCCCCAGCGTCTGTTGTTCCCCTCTTTGTGTCCACGTGTTCTCATCATTTAGCTTCCACTTACAAGTGAGAACATGCAGTATTTGGTTTTCTGTTTCTGTGTTAGTTTAAAGCCAGAATTCATTCACCTATTGTTAATCACAACCCAAACATCTCCCAGGAGAAGCATTCCTACTTGTGCACTGGGGCCAGCTTTAGCAACAGTGAAATTATATTCTGATGGCCATGTTTTCAAGTTCTGTTTTTGTTTCTCAACTGGCCCCAACTCAGGAAGGCATGCGATGAATTTTCACCCTTAAATCCCAACAAAGAAGGAGAGAGTAAAGATACAATTGACTAGAGTAGTGGTTCTCAACAAGGGTGATTTGGCAGTTTCTAGAGACATATTTTTTTATTACCACTGAAGGGGGCAGTGCCACTTGCAACTAGTGGATAGAGGCTCACTAACCATACTACAATACCCAGTCCAGTCCCCCACTGCATAGAATTATCCAACTCCAAATGTCAATAGTGTTAATTTAAGAAGCAACTATTGAGAGATGACTCCAAAGCTTTCTTCTTGCCTTAAAACACTCTGGGAAAGAGTCTTTGAGTAATTGAATTGGAGTGCAGTGGGCAGATAAACTTGTTTTCATAAAAAAGAAACAGTGGATGCAGATATAGAGAAATTTTAAGGTTGAGATGGGTGAATTGAGGGAAATGTATTGTTGAAACTGTCTCTTGACTATTTCTTCTATATGAATCATGCTTTACGCATGAACTCTGAACCAGCAGCATCAGCATCATCTGGGAACTTGTCAGAAATGCAAGTCTTGGGCCCCACCCTAGACCTACTGAATCAGAGACTCTGGGGTTAGGACCCAATGATGTATGTTTCAACAAGCCTTCCTGGAGATTCTGATGTTGCTAAAGTTTGATGATATTATTCTAGATCATATGCTGACCTTGTCTTAAGGTCTGTTGTGGTTCGTTACATCATATGCCTTCAAGAGTCAGTTTGATTATTGGGAGTAGCAGGGGTGATTGCATGGTAAGAGAGCTTATGAAGAAGGCCAGCTGGTCTGCAGGGCAGATGAGCTAGAGGTAATGCTTCCTGACAAGTCCATTTAGTGATTTTACTCTTTCATGGGATAGCTGTCATGAAAGGTTTTAAATACCGGTGCAATAAAGCATGCCGTGTGGTCAACATAATGTTGAAGTAAAGTTAATTGCCACAGGAAATGAAACCGACGTCGGGGGGCAGGGGGGTGGAGACAAGTAGGTTGTAGAAAAAGTTCTGAGGATCAGAATCCAAAGGATGCTCTTTCTTTTCTCACCCATTTTAAGACTTAATTGAATCCTGTTTGTTTGTCTCACCCACCCCACATCCCTCTTCTACTTTATTCTATTAAAAATCTCATTGCTTAAAGGTAAACCAGGATTTATCATGGTTAGTACTAGACTTAATCCTTGCTATTCTAGGAACTGTTCAAAGAAGCAAAGTACTAAACCATAAAATACGCCAGTGAAATAAAAAGGACCTGACATTTAGAAAATCCACAAGGCTACTTTCTTTACCTTCCTTTTCTAAGATTTTAGGCCTCTTTCCCCTCCAAAAGCTATGCTGTGAGAACCAGATGTGGCCACAATACTGTTTCTTTTTTTTTTTTTTTTTGTGACTTGCATTCCAGCCCCTCATTCCTGAAGGAGTGCTTTTCTCTGTTGGCTGCTTTATCCTCCAGACTCTTCCCTTCCCTTCCTTTCCTTCTTCTAACTCCCTATGGCTGGTGGAGGGAAAGTTATGTTTAAATTTAAGGAAAAAAAATGTTAGGAGAAAATATGGTGACAAATGAGTAGCAATGGGAAGTTCTCTGAGACATGACAATGAGGAAAGAAAGCTTCCATGATGAATGTAGACTTGTCTTAAATTAAAGGAAGTGTCCCAGGTCATAACTGATGTGATGGAAACATTAACCTAATTAACCTAATCACTAGCATCGATATATGTGGAGATAAGAATGAGTAGATAAGAGGGGTATTTTTCTAGGGGTCTTTAAAAGGTGAGACCAAATAGCAAAAAATCTGGTACAATGTCATCAATGGTATCGAGCTAATGTAACTATGGGCTTGTGTATATATCCATCCATCTATCTATCAATCCATCTATCCATCTATTCATTCTTTAAGCATACATTTATTAAGAATCTACTATATGCCAAGCACTGTTTTAGGGGCTGAGGATATAGAGGTGAATTACATAGGCCAGTTCCTTTCCCACGGACCTTGGCACTTATATTTCAGTAGAGGACTCAAACTATAAACATGTAAACAAATAAACAACGTAATCACAGATGGTGGTAAGTGCCATGAAGGAGATGGTGATTAGATGAAGAGTAACTGGAGGAATGTATGTATGAACAACGAAGTCTGAGTGCTTCAGTTTTGAGTTGACACCTGAATGTTAAGAACATGCCAGCTATTCAGAGATGGGGAGGCAATGGAGAGGGACAGGTGGGAATTTCAGGCATATATCAGGATCTTCTAGAAATGTGAACTCAGGAGCTACTTGAGCCTGTTAAGAAAAATTATCCACAACCTGAAAACAAGTCCGAGAGTGTGACCGTAAGCCCTTTCAATGCCATACTTAATCATTATTTAACAGGCCCATCCAAGGATGATATATTTTCCTATAAGAATTTACCATTATTTGTTTCTGCTATTTACTATTTATTATTAATAATTGAGGGCTCAGGATCTGTAAAGTTATACATGTTAAACTTGTATATGATGCAATGATTTCCTTCTGGTGTAAAGATGACCCTGAAGTTTATGGTTTATTGCCCCTAAAGACATTAATTAATTTTGTATCTAGAAATTTTAGTCCTTTTTAAAGAAAAAGACTATGTAAACTAAATTATCCAAAATGCTCTTGGAGAACTTTTATCTTCTTATTGGTTACCTCATCAATTAATGAGTTGAATAAAATTTTTGATACATATTCATTTGATAGTTCAATGAGAGTCATACTTTTAACTTTTTGAAAATTATACATTGACAAGATATACTGTGGCTCACCTCAGGAATTGGGAGTCAGAGATCAGCTTTAATGAGTACATGAAAGCCTAGAATTATCTGTATTTTTTTTTTTTTTTTTTTTTGAGAGGGAGTCTCACTCTGTCGCCAGGCTGGAGAGCAGTGGTGTGATCTCGACTCACTGCAACCTCCAACTCACTGGTTCAAGAGATTCTCCTGCCTCAGCCTCCCGAGGAGCTGGGATTACAGGCACGTGCCACCACGTCCAGCTAATTTTGTGTGTGTGTGTGTGTGTGTGTGTGTGTGTGTGTGTGTTTAGTAGAAACGGGGTTTCGCCATGTTGGCTAGGATTGTCTTAATCTCCTGACCTCGTGATCTGCCCGCCTCAGCCTTCCAAAGTGCTGGGATTACAGGCGTGAGATACCGTGCCCGGCCGAATTATCTATATTTTTAAGATCAAGCACCTTATTAACTTAATCAGATGTTCCAGACTCTTGAGTCTTTCAGTCACAACTGCTGACCAGAGTAAACACTCTCCAGACTCCTCATGTGCCCTTGCCTTGATTTTTCTATGCTCACCAAATAACATATTTTGGTTGCTAATTCTGCTTCAAAAGTATTCAGGTATCAGGAAAGAGGTTCCCTGTATGGAGCTTGATAATTATAGTTCTTGCCAAATTTATTTATTTATATTTTATTTATTTTTGTTTTTTGTAAATTACTATGTTGGCCTCCTGGCTTATGCATCTGCCTTTTGCCGTGAGTCAGTTCTTCCAGGTCCCACTAAGTCTGAGTGATTGGACAAAGCTGAGTTCCTGTACCAGCAAAGAAGCTGGAGACTAGACCCAGTGAGACGGGGGACCCTGACTGGAGCCATGCAGCACGAGTGGCCTCTGTAGGCAACATGAGGAGGCATCTCTCCATCTCTACCTGGTTTCTCTCTAAATTGCATGGGGGTGGATGTGGGATTGATGATCATTCTAACTTTCTTCTCTTTACTGGAAGTGTCCAAAAGTATTTATGCTCATTTTCAATGAGCTCATGTTCCCAAGAAAGAACAATTCACACACTCTCAGAGAGAAAATAATTCGTTTCTTATCAGGTCAGTCAATTTGCTCTTTCTTGATATTTGTTTTGTGTGCTCCACACAAAGTCCTCCTGGCCTTCCTTAATCTTTTTGGGAAGTATAAACACTGCAGACAGGTGGGGTCTTACAGGCACCATATCTTTGAGGAGATGCTGATACCTCCTCCAGCTCCTGAGAAGGAGGGCCTATGGGATTGTTCTGCCAAGCATCTAAGAAAGGGTCATTTCCCTTTGCTTCAAGGACTCTTTCTTTATGAAAGCTGATCTTCTTCCTAAGAGACAGGTCTCTTCATGTTTTATTTGATGATTCTACTGACAATGCTTTCCAGAAAAAAAGCCCAGGATGGCTGCGGATTGTGATGTTTTCATCTTTTTCAAACAACATTCTGGTTTAATGTTTAAAATGTGGGAGAGAAGCTGGATGCCCTGCAGAAACTGACTCAATGAAAAGGCATCTTGGGATGTCAATCCAGTTTGTGAAAACCTTCCTGTTGACAAGGCTAGGTTAAAAACAACATTTCCAAATGTGCAAAAATGAAAATTGAGATCTTGAGGCAACTTTTTCAGTTTCTGTGTGAACAAAGTAGTGGAATAAACTATAGAGTATCTCATATTAAAAATATTTTAAACTAAATAAACAATCAAGTAAGAGCAACCAGCATAACCAGTGTTACCAGAACACAGCATTATTTAAACAGAGTAGTGAGTCCTGTCAATTTGAATAATGACACAAAATTGCACTGGGGGATTCTCAGAATTTCTACTCAGAATAATCCTTCCCTTCATCATTAAGCAACTTTATCCACGTCCCAGTTTTCCCCAAGTATCTTCCCAGTAGCTGGTTAGCTATCCATTTTCAGTGCAGAAGGGGATGCAGATGGATTAAATAATGTGAGGAAACTGCTTCCAGTTGCAGCAATTGCAACTTATTTAGATGGACATTCTCTCTAGTAGGGAAATGTCCAGCCAGATAATAAGAGGGCTACCTCTTTACTTTCAACTAGAGACCTCATCAGGGCACTGAATAGCATTCATCTGATACTTTTAGTTTTAGACTTGCAAAGTGTTTTCCAAAGATGACTTTTTCAAAAACATTTTTTAAAAAAATCAAAGACAGAGCATGACCATGGACAATTTTTTCAATAAAACAGTTTGGCCAGGTTGTACCATCTCTTTTGGCCTCTTCCCTCATAATGGTTGGGCAAGGAAGGACTGTACCCTTTGCATGCAAGGGTTTCCAAAAGGGAGGAATTTGGGAGTCAGAAAGAATCGCTTAGGAGCTGCCATACCCTCATCCCAGATTGCTGAGAGAACAAGAGCCATTATAGGTAAGGTATGCCAGCTTTAGGCAGGCATTAAATACTCTGTAGTACAATAATGTCAGGCAGTTGTTTCACAAGGAGCAGGTTCAAAGTCATGTTAACAGGAAGAAGGCTTTTTCTAAATTTAATTTTTGTTGTGGTAAAAGATACATAACATAAAATTTGCCATTTATTTTTAAATTTACAGCTCTGTGGCATTAAGTATATTCATATTGTATTTCAACGATTACCACCATCTTTGTCCAGAACTTTTCTGTTTTCCCCACTGAAACACTAACTCCCAAGATTCTTTTTAATGTAAGATCAGTTTATATGGTTTCTTGGAAACAAACAAGCAAACTAGCACTTGCTTTGGCAAGGTAGGCTCTCTTTTTAGATAGTAAGGAAATCAGATCTAATTTTCACTAATGAAAAAGTTATTTTGACATTGAAGCACCTAGTGTTGACCCCATTTGTACAACAGCCCATTTCTTCCAATTTGGAGTCACTAAAGACTAGGCAGAGGAGGGGTCCCATTAGCATCATAGGCTTGACACATGAAGGGGCAGAATTTTCTCCTTGGTGGATGGGAAGGATGATGTGTTTTGAAGAAAAGGGGATGGGATACCAGAATGGGAGGACTGAAAATAAGAAGGAGGCTTGAAGAGAAAGAGAGGAGAGGTTGGGAAAGAATTGCTTTGGCCACATGTGGGTAGTGGCTACTCTTTTGAAGAGTACAGATACAGAATATTTCCATCATCACGGAAAGTTTTATTGGACTTTAGGTTCTGGTATGGAGTTTAGGTTCCAGAGTCATAAAGACTTGATCCTTCCAATGCCACTGACTAGCTCTGTGAATTTAGGCTAGTTATTTAATCTTTGTTAGTCTCAGTTTTCCCATTTGCAAAATGAGGATAATAAGAGTGTCTCCCTGTGGAAGAGCCAGCCAATTCACCAAAAATCTGTTTCCTTCTATTTCTAGGCATCCTACTAGGCCACATTTCCTGGTTTCTCTTGCCATTTACTGTGGCTATGTGACTGAGTTCTACCCATTGGAATATAGGCAGCAATGCTAGATGTTGTTTTCAGCTAAAACTTTTAGAGAGAGGCCTCTTCATATTTTTTCCCCTTTTGCCTGATGGATCCAAACAAAAATAAGTCCCTAAGATATGGATGAGCCACAAGATAGAAGCAACCTGAGTTACTGGATTACTTCATGAAGGAGAGGCAAACATTGATATAAAAGTTTTACCTTTGATTGTTATGTGAGCAAGAAATTAACTTCTATTACACAGGGGCTCTTTGTTACTGCAGCATTGCTTAACCTAGAACAATTACAGAGTTCAATGAGAAAATTTAATCAAAGTGCCCATCACAATGTCTGGTACCTGGTAAGTGCTCAGTAAATATTAGCTGTTTTTTAAATACTGAAGAGCAGAAATTATAGAGCAGGAGAGACCCAGGTTTAAACTAAAGCTGTGTAAACTAAGCTCTGTAATTATAAGCAATTTGCGAAAACACAGGTTCTTAATTTCCTCACCTGTAATATAAGATGATAATGTTAATGAAAAGAAAGAATTATTAAAGTTGAGAGAATATGTAGTTTTTCTCTCAATTCAGAAGCCTGCATGATTTAACACTATTTGAGCTGGCTACTGCTTTTTCACGCTGCAGTATTGATTTCCGATTTCAGTAGAGGCAGCCTGCTGTACTCAGGGGTGCCATTTAGTTAAGTGGACTCAAGAATTCCTGTGCTATAGCTGATCCAATATAGAGACACCTCCATGAGTCTGCAATCAGATAAGTTCCAGGACATTTAGGCAGACTGAACTATTGACAGGCACAAAATCAGCAGCTCTTGAGTCCAGAAGGCCATAAAGAAAGCACTTGAATCTGACCAGATCTCCAGAAAACTCAAGAGGACCATGAGCTATCCAAGGATTTTTTTTTTCCTGTTACAAATATAAGGCACATAGAGAGGACGGTGAAATTGCTTTCAGTTGCCTAGAAATGCCAGGTTCTTTGTTGCAGGTGTTTCCAACAATGCTGAACATAGCAGTGGACTCCTCAATTCCAACTGCCTGTGTTTTGCACCAATAATCGTGAAATGTTGATGTAATTCATATCTAATGATTAAAGCCCTTTCTATGGGTTTGGGGGAATTATGGGGCTGAATTGGGATCAATGCCAAGGATTCAGATCTGGGGGTTGGAACTTGTCTTTTCCTTTCCAAGCAGTAAGAGCTAGAAGGTTTGCTAGAAAAAAATCAGCTTGAAACAGAAAGAAAACAAACATGCAATTAATTCTAAAAGATTAGAGGCAAAATAAGAGGCAAGTAGGGACCCAGGGGTTAAGAGTCACATGAGGCTGGGAATAAAGGGGGAAGTTCCGAGGCAAACTCTATGAGTGGACTCAAATCCATTTGGCAGTAGTGTGTCAGTCTGGCTCAGAGAGGCCAAAGCAAAGACAGTGAATTTGTGGAGAAAATACAATTTCAATTGAAGATGGCCTGGTCACACATGAAATAAGAAAGATATGAATAGTTGGATGTAATCAAAAAACAGGTGTTAAGGATTTCTTATAGGAGGAAGAACAGAATGTATCCATACACATACACATATACATATACACTCAGCCTCACAGTAAGGCATCAGAAACCGTGCTGAACTACATAAGGGTGGTACCTGTAGTGAGTCAGCTAGGTTTGGAGAATCAGTAGAAAGACAGTATTTCTCTTTTTGCAATCTATCCATTTGACAAAGGTCTAATATCTGGAATCTATAAGGAACTTAAACAAATTTACAAGAAAAAAACAACCCCATCAAAACTGGGTGAAGGATATGAACAGGCACTTCTCCAAAGAAGACATTTATGCAGCCAAAAAACATATGAAGAAAAGCTCATCATCACTGGTCATTAGAGAAATACAAATCAAAACCACAATGAGATACCATCTCACACCAGTTAGAATGTTGATTATTAAAAAGTCGGGAAACAACAGATGCTGGTGAGGCTTGGAGAAATAGGAACACTTTTACACTGTTGGTGGGAGTGTAAATTAGTTCAACCATTGTGGAAGACAGTGTGGTGATTCCTCAAGGATCTAGAACCAGAAATACCATTTGACCCAGCAATCCTGTTACAGGTATATACCCAAAGGATTATAAATCATTCTACTATAAAGACACATGCACACGTATGTTTATCACAGTACTATTTATAATAGCAAAGACTTGGAACCAACCCAAATGCCCATTAATGATAGACTGGATAAAGAAAATGTGGCACATATACACCATGGAATACTATGCAGCCATAAAGAAGAATGAGTTCATGTCCTTTGCAGGCACATGGATGAAGCTGGAAGCCATCATCCTCAGCAAACTAACACATGAATAGAAAACCAAACACCACATGTTCTCACTCATAAGTCGGAGTGGAAAAATGAGAAGACATGGACACAGGGAGGGGAACATCATACATCGGGGCCTGTCAGGGGGTGGGAGGCAAGGGGAGGGAGAGCATCAGGACAAATACCTAATGCATGTGGGACTGAAAACCCAGATGATGGGTTGATAAATGCAGCAAACCACCATAGCCCGTGTATACCTACATAACAAACCTACACATTTTGCACATGTATCCTAGAACTTAAAGTAAAAAAACGTAAATTAAAAAAAATAATAAAGTAAAAAACTTAAAGGAAAAAAAAAGACAGTATTTCTCAATGTGTGTTTGGCAAATGGCCTGTACCAGCATTGTTTATGAAAATTGTTAAAATGAAGACTCCAGGACCACTGAGTGTGGGATTCTGATTTAACAGAGCACTTTTCTGATTGTCCAGGAATCCAGCTTTGGGGGTGTCAGAAGGCAACTCAAGAACATGGCTGTTTTAAACCAACCAGGCATGGCAGCCTAAGATAGACGGCGCAAAGAACAAGCGAGATGAATCATGGGTGAAATGTCATTCAGGGGTTGCTTTAGACTTGTATTTGGGCCTCCTTTCACCCCTTAGTGGGTTCCTGGGTCTTACTCCCTTCTACTTTGACTTTGGGGACCTGCTTCTTCTTCTCTTCTGCCATTTCCTTTACTGCACCATGGGCTCAGTTAATAACCTGGGCCTCTCTCCTACATAAGGCATGGGGGCGAATTGATCCAGAACAACTGGTGCTATCACCTTAGTTTTCCCCTTCAAGGCAAATAGCTCCTATCAACCATACTCTGATGATGCTTGATGAACTTTGTGTAGGGGAAAGTATCCATGTTACTTGTGTGGTTTGGAAATTAGAGAAAGAGATAGAAAATGGCCCCATAATACATGTGATTAAATGGTCTCAGGGTGCTTATATGGTGTTTGTCAAGATTGTTCTGGCATGACAGTTTTCCACAGTGCTAGGCATAATTGGGTTATGAATAAATACTTGCTGATAGTACCCTCTCACCATTTTCTTCTCTAAGAACACTCTCTGGAAGAATCTATTCTGAACATCAACATTGCCTCCTAAAGAATATGTTCTGGGTATTAACAATATGTTGATCAAATCAAATAAAATGATTAATGCCATATTTCCTAGAATCTAAGAGGTACATATTTCTGGGAGAGTAATTTATTTTCTTATAAATCATACATTGATAAGTAAGCATTGTGTTATAGTTTTATTGAGAGACTTTCCTTTAGTGTCTCAGACCTTATGAAATGTTACATATAGACAAATCTTCTGTTAAATATTAGCATAATGGTAAATAAATCATTCTGGTTGAAAAGGTCAAGAAATAGGCTTATCAGGATGATTTCTTTTCTAATAAGTATAATACAATAAAATAGAGGCAGTGCAATCTGATTAAAACAACATTGAATTTGATGTTTAACAACATGGGTTTTTGAGTCTCAGTTTCCTCATCTGTAAAATGAAGATAATGGAACCTACCTCACAATGTGGTTAGAAGTAAATGAAATTATGATATTTATAAGGGCCTTATAAACTCTAATATGCTTTAGAAATAATATATATTGAGTCTATCCTAGAATATGGCATGTCTAGGATGCCATAGAAAGTAGTAGTGTAATGCCTTTATGCAGTTCAGAAGACATTTTAGCATGTTGTGGTGTTATCTCTTGGGTTACCATAACTAGTAAAAATATGATCTGAATATTTAAGGTATTTAATTGTATTGAATATCATAGGTAATTAAGGCTCAGTAGACATGGCTGAGAAAGCACTGAGTGTCTGATACCTTTAGAGTTACATTAAAAAATGAATCCCAGCCAGGTGCATTGGCTCACGCATGTAATCCCAGCACTTTAGAAGGCTGAGGGAGAGGACTGCTTGAGCCCAGGAGTTCGAGACCAGCCTGGGCAACATAGCAAGACTCTGTCTCTACAGAAAAATTAATCTCTGCCAGAATTAATGGGGAAACACTATAGAATTTTCTACTATGTTCATGAATAAGACAAGGAGGCCCTCTACCTCCACTGCCATCTATCACATTGAGGGTATTAGAAGAAAAAAAGGGGTAAGGATAAAAACTATCTCCATTTTCAAGTAGTATGATTATATATTTGGAAAAAAACATGCTGGGCACCTATAATCCCAGCACTTTGGGAGACCATGGTGGGCAGATCACTTGAGGTCAGGTGTTTGAGACCAGCCTGGCCAACATGGTGAAACCCTGTCTCTACTAAAAATATAAAAATTAGCTGGGTATGGTGGCACACGCCTGTAATCATAGCTACTCAGGAGGCCAAGGCAGGGAAATCACTTGAACCTGGGAGGCAGAGGTTGTAGTGAGCCTAGATTGCGCCACTGCAATCCAGCCTGGGCAACAGAGCAAGAGTCCATCTCAAAAACAAACAAACAAACAAACAAACAAAAAACAGAAAGAAAAGAGAAAAAGAAAAAAAGTTAATGGGAAAATCACTATAAACAATAAGAGAACAAATATTAGTTTAAGAAAAAATTCAATGACCTTCATTTATGCAAACAATAGAGGTTCTAAGAGGTACATAGAAAATAAGAGAAAAAATATTAAGCACTCCTGCAAAACACAAAAGGAGACTTGAATGAATGAAAAGACATGCCATATTCTAGGATAGGAAGATTCAATATTATAAAGAGAAAATTCTGCCTAATTCACAAGTTAAATGCAATCTCAATAAAATATTATCAAGTTTTGGGTTTTTTTCTGGTATTAGATAAGTTGTTTATAAAGCTCAATGAAAAAAACAGGTAAAATATCCAGGAAAACCCTTAAGAAGGCAAGGAATACGGAAGTGGGTATGGCTAGCTGTACCAGGTATTAAAATATGCTACAAAACGTAGCATACAAAATATGCTACAAAATGAAGGTAAAAGGTAGAAGAGACAGGAATGGAAGTTAATCTTTTCTGAATATTCCCTGTTTTGCAGTTTTGACTTTGGAACCATGTAAACATTTAATATAATTATAAGGCAAAATTAAATTTGAAAAAATATCTAAAAATTGAAAACAAAATGAAACAAATGAACCTGACTGTTCCATGGGCTATAGGTCCACAGAGACCTTAAATACTATGGAGAGGAATGATTTTGAGAGACATTAAAATATGGCTCTGCATCCATAGAAATACATATGTAATGAAGAAAAAGAATTGTAAAATTTCAAAATTGATTTAGGTCAAGAATTCATTCCAGAAAGCAAGGACGTTATCAAGCAAGGACGTTACTAAGTTTATATCAAAAGAATTCAAGAGCCAACTTGAAGAAGCTTTTATTGGCCAAATATGGGACAACTTAAGATTTCAAAGGAATTATAATAACTGAAATAGATGGAAACACTGAAATATATTTAAAAAATCCATAAATTGTTAATAATACTGGGGCATTCTTGCCAGAAAACAGACCCTGAAATCTGATCAAGTTCTAAATATGCATTTATAGGAAACACAGAATGTGAGAAATGCTATGGGACAAACCAGCCTGGTTTCTTCACTAAGTAAATTACAGGGGGAAAAAAAAGGGGAGCGAGAACGAACTGATTAAAGGAGGCTTCAGAGACATCTCAGTCAAATACAGTGCTTAGACCTTGTTTAAATCTTCACTTAAACAAATAGAAACAATTGTTTAATAAATGAGAGACTCTGGCAAACATAAACAATGGCAGAATATTTGGTGGCATTAAGGAAGTATAGTTAGCATTCTTAAGAATAATGTTTTATAGTTTTATTAATGGAAAGATTTATTATCTGTTAGCAATGTTAGCAATACATACTGAAGTATTTTCTGATGAGATGACAAGATGTTTGGGATAGGAACACAGTGTGACTTTCATTGGCACTTTTGCCTTCATGGGCCCCTTTTAACACAACAGATTTTCATGGACCCTAAAAAGTTCGTTGCTTTCTGATGCAAGAAAAAAAAATTAGAATATTTTAGTTAATCTTACATGTTCATTCTCTTCTTCTGATTTTGAAAGAAATTAAAACATTTTCATAGGTTCTTGAGGAGTTTAACAAGGCTCCCAGGTGACTCTAATGTATAATAAGTTTGATGTACTATACCAGTGGTTCTTAACTGGAAGTGATTTTACACTCTAGAGAACATTTGGCAATGTCTGAATACACTTTTGATTTTCAGACTGACACAGGCAGCAGGGTGTGTGAGTGTGTATGTGACGGGGGTGAAATGCTACTGGCATCTAGTAGCTAGGGTTGCTGTTAAGGATCCTACAGGCACAGGACAGCTCCCCACAGGAAAATCCAAACGTCAATAGTGCACGTGTGGAGAAACCCTGATCCTTCTCTCCCCCCTCCCTTCCTTCCTTTTTCTTTCCTTTCTTCTTTTTTTCCTTCTTTTCCTCTATTCTTCCTTCTCACATTCTTTCTTTCTCTCCTCTATCATCTATCAATCAATCATCTATTTCCTTACCTCCTACTTATTTCTCTACAGGCAGCAGAGCACTCAGAAAGCCACAAAGTGTTCCTTTTCTGCATTTTTATTTATTCAATTACAGATGACCCTCTCCTTTTATCCTCCTCATAAAAAGTTTAATGACTCCTCATAAAAAGTAGATATATGGCTAAAGGAGGTATTATTTTATTTCTGGCCAAAGAGGGTCATTTACCTCCCTGGGAATAGGAGGGTGCTACTCAACGTGTAAGTGATAATTGCCATCCTATGCCTGAAGTCACAGCTCTTGGCCATTCTGCATAGGAGCTTCCACATGAAGGACCAAATAGCCAGGAATCCTGATTTTGGCTTGAAGGTTTCCAGTGGGGTTGAGGCTTGAAATATCTCAGTTCTTACAGAGATACCAGGTGCAACTCTGAGTTGCTCCTCAAGAACATGGAAGTGAACATGTCTGCTAAGAGTTCAACTGCAAAGCTCATACAGAATGGATTTAAGCAAAGACATATAAAGCAACCTTAAAGAGCTTGAGATTAACCAATCAGATGGGATTCTAACCTGACAGATCATATCAATGAATCAAAAAATTGTATCTGTCAGAAGGTTTGTGGGGCAAAAGTAGTGAGGAAAATGTAAAACTACTAAGGCAAACATCATCAATGTCCAGCTACCCAGCTAACACTTTCCAGGGGATTAGTTGTCCTGAGAAGTCAACATGAATGTTTAGTCTGCCTGATGGACAGTGGAGGTGGGCACTCCTGGTTTTCAGAGTCTGAAGCCATTAACTGTCTCAGTTACCCAATTCTGATTTCAGGCAATAACAGCAACCTTCTGATGATTGTCTTCTCTGTGGTTTGCCCACAAGAAAATGCCCTGGTGAAGCTGATATTACTGCTTGATGGTTGTGTTTTTCACTGAACATTAATCAATTGGCCTTTTAGTTTATAGGCACCAGTCTCCAGTAGATTTGCTTAGTTATCCTTAATTGGTTGAATCACCTCCGGGCCATTGACAACAAGGAACGTCTAGACTTTCAAGGTAGAGGAAAGGCCAGAGCATGGCCTATAAAAACATCTCCTGAAATCTGCTCCTGGCGTTCAGCCTACTGTCTTCCTTTGGTGACTTTGAATGCATATTTTCTTCCAACTTTTACATTCCCAAGGTGCTCAGAAAGCCTTCGTGATAGATCGAAAAAGTGGCCACGATACTTTGGAGCTTCTTCCACCAAGAGATGTAGTCTATCTCCTTACCTTTTAAATCTGTAATGACCATGTGACTTGCTTTGACCTAGACTGTGGAGGAAGTGACCTGTGTGAGTTCTGAGCCTAGGCCCTAAAGAGGTCTTATGGGGCTCTGTTCTTGCATTCTTCGAACCCTAAGTTCACTGTGTGTGTTAGTCCAAGCTGGCCTGGGGATGATGAGAGCCATATGGCCCCACCCCTTCTCTCATTCCAGACCACAGCCAGCCAACCTCCAGAAGCAGAACCACCCTCCTCTTGGGTAGCTGACCACAAATGCCTGAGAAAGTCCAGGCAAGATCAACAGAAGAATCACCTAGATTAGTTCATCCCAACTTGTCAGTACTCAGAATCATAAGCTAAATAAATGCTTCTAGTTCTAAGCTACTAAATTTTGCATTATTCTGTTATATAACAGTAGATAATTGATATGACACTATTTTCATTTTAATAACTCTCATTTATAACCTGAATTTATTGCCATGGTTTTGTCTTTCAGAAGACATGGGTTTTGCCTCTTGATATAACATAATTGGAATTGATTTTGGGCTTTCACATAAGCTTCAATGGCTCTAGAAGAAGAAATAGCCCTTGTTTCTTCCATCGAGATGCTAAAAGATGAGAGGGTTGGGTACAGTGTAAAGAAAATTTGGGGTTTGTCAATATTATTTTGAAAAGAAATAGGAAGATTAAATACTTTTTTTAAAAAATCACATTTCTTGGACACAGATTTCTGACCTTTAGCCGGCGGTCTGGGTCTCCGCTGCATAGAGAATTTACAGATACTTTGAATGATTTCCAGGCTGGGCTTAAGTTATTCATCACAACCTGGGAAAAGAAAGAGAGGAGTGGTGAGTGGGGGAGAAATGCTTGACATTTTCACATTTCCACATTAAAACTGCTTGAGAAACCATTGTGATGCTTATGAAAAGAACAATAGCCTGGAAGAGGTGCCTTAATAAAAACTTGATGTAGTAAATCTTTTAAGGGTACCCACTAAGCAGGTCATTATGCACAGAACTCCTGTGGTCACTGTCCTGGCCGTTGTTTCATGAATAATGCCAATAATATTTTCCAGCATGTGGATGCTGAGAATGATCCCTTCTATATCAAAAGGAGTTGAAATTAAGGATAGGGCTGCCTTTGCCCATTGATAGAGAATTCTCAGTTCTGTAGGACTGTCAGTCTTACAGTATAAATTCTCTTCTCTTGGGGTCAGCAAAGGTAAAGACTCTTAGTAGGGTGAAGGGTATAGCAAGACAACTCTGCTGCTAAATAATTGGATGGTCTGGTAATCTGTGACCTTGAGTCACATCAGATTGCAAGTCAGAAGAGAAGTTTCTAGAAGAAAAATCCCAGGACCATACTTATACTAGCTTATCACCAACTCAATTACAATATCCTGGAAAGGCGTGACAAAGCAGATCTTAAGATTATAAACTATGTCTATAACATAGGAAAACCCTTTTAAAACCACTTTACTAATCACAAACTTGGCTAATCCTGGCCTAAGAATCTATATGAGTCAAATCTTATCTTGCCATAACTATGGTTCAAATAATTCAATTTGGTTCAGAATGTATGAGTAGCTGCTCTGTGCCTAGCATTGTACTGTGTACTTGAGGGCAGGGATTCCCAAAGTGTGGTTCCTGGACCAGCAGGAGCTGCATCACCTGGAAACTTCTTAAAAACACAAATTTCTAGTCCCCACCCAGAACTACCGACAGACACTCTGGAGGTGGGTCTCCTGGGTGATTCTGAGGCACAAAGTTTCAGAACCACTGCTCTAGGGGATATACAAATAAAGTTAAATGGAATTCTGTCATATTGATTTTTCTACTTAGGAAGTCTTTAGTTAGTGGAAGTCTTGGAATTTTTTGTTTTTTTTTTTTGAGATGGATTTTTGCTTTTGTTGCCCAGGCTGTAGTGCAATGGTGCAATCTTGGCTCACTACAACCTCTCCTGCATCAGCCTCCCAAGTGGCTGGGATTACAGGCATGTGCCACCACACCCAGCTAATTTTGTATTTTTAGTAGAGACAGGGTTTCTCCATGTTGGTCAGGCTGGTCTTGAACTACTGACCTCGGGTGATCCACCCACCTCGGCCTCCCAGAGTGCTGGGATTACAAGCGTGAGCCACAGCACCCGACCTAGAATTTGTTTTTTAATTAATTATCTATCCAAATAACATAATTCTTTTATAAGTGATTCCCTCTTCCACCGGATTCCTTAATATAACTAGATCCTAGACTCATTGTTAAATTTCTTCTAATGCATTGAAGTGGAGAAATAATGTTTCTGTGTGACTTTGTCATGTGTTCTAGTACACTTAGGATGATTAAAATGATAGCAAGAAGGAGAATTAGGTAAAAAATTGTTTGGGTTAAAATAAATTTCCCAACTTTATATGAAAATGCTAAAAAGTGAAGAAGTCTCATGCAACAGTTTTGAAAAACTCAATAGCAACTAGAAATTTCCTCTGAAGTTAAAATCTTTATGTGTATGTATGTATGAGTGTACACATGTGTGTGTGTGTGTGTGTGTGTGTGTGTACGTGCAGGCTACCCACAAGTGAGCAGTTTTGCCTGGTATTTATTTTGTATCTACTGAGAAAGCAAGAGAAATCAATGTCATGTTGCTTCACTCATCGGAAAACCTTGCCATCATGTTCCTTGTGAAACTCTAGGAGCACCTCCCCATTAGAGTAAAAGGGGATATTATAGAAATTCTTGGGAACAGGAGAATTTACCAATATCAATGAGAAGAATGCTCTCAGGAGCAGAGGAGAGGAGGTTCTGGAAGAAAAGTACAGCAATAGTCATCCTTTCAATTTTTTATTTTTTGGGCTGTTACTTCAAGAATTTATCCTTTATGTTAGAAACATTCCACTTATACTGTTTTGGTTATTATAAAATATGTAATAAATTATTGTTGACTGTAGTCACCATATTGTTCTGTCAAATACTAGATCTTATTCATTCTAACTAGATATTTTGTACTCATTAACCATTATTACTTCCCTCCTCCCCTACTACCCTTCGCAGCCTCTGCTGTCCATCATTGTATTTTCTATCTCCATGAGTTCAGTTGTTTTTATATTTAATATTTAGCTCCCACAAATAAGTGAGAACATGTGAAGTTTGTCCTTCTGTACTTAGCTTATTTTACTTAATATAAAGACCTCCAGTTTTATCCATGTTGTCACAAATGACAGAATTTTATTTGTACTTTTTAGAGTACGGAATAGTACTCCACTGTGTATATGTGCCACATTTTCTTTATTCATTCATCTATTGATAGACTTGTAGGTTGCTTCCAAATCTTAGCTATTATGAATAGTGCTGCAATAAATATGGGAGGGCAGATATCTCCTGTATATACTGATTTCCTTTCTTTTGGGTATATACCTAGCAGTGTGATTGCTGGGTCATATGGTTGTTCTATTTTTAATTTTTTGAGGAACCTCCAAACTATTCTCCACAATGATTATACTAATTTACATTTCCACCAACAGTATATGACAGTTCCCTTTTCTCCGCATCCTTGCCAGTATTTATTATGGCCTTTTGAATTTATCCAAAAAAGTTAATATTAACTGAGGTGAGTGCTATCTCATTGCAGTTTTGTTTTGCATATCTCTGATGATCAATGATGTTGAGCACCTTTTCACATATCTATTTGCCATCTGTATGTCTTCTTTTGAGAAATGTTTATTCATATCTTTTGCCCATTTCCAAATTGAATTATTAGATTTTTTTTCTCATAGAGTTGTTTGAGCTCCTTATATCTTTTGGTTATTAACCCCCTGTCAGATGGATAGTTGGCAAATATTTTCTCTCATTCTGTGGGTTTTCTCTTCACTTTTTTTATTGCTTCCTCTGCAGTGCAGAATTTTTTTTTAACTTGATGTGATCCCCTTTGTCCATTTTTGCTTGGTTGCTTGTGCTTGTGGGGTATTATTCAAGAAATCTTTACCCAGTCCAATGACTTAGAGAGTTTCCCTAATGTTTTCTTTTAGTATTTTCACAGTTCGAAGTCTTAAATTTATGTCTTTAATCCATTTTGATTTGATTTTTGTATATGGTAAGAGATGGGGGTCTAGTTTCATTCTTCCACATATTGATATCCAGTTTTCCCAGCACCATTTATTCAAGAGACTATCCTTTCCATAATGTCTGTTCTTGGCACCTTTGTCAAAAATGAACTCAATGCATGTGTATGAATTTGTTTCTGGGTTCTCTATTCTGTTCCATGGGTTTATGTGTCTGTTTTTATGCCAGTACCGTGCTGTTTACTGTCACTTTGTAGTATAAATTGAAGTCAGGTAATGTGATTCCTCCAGTTTTGTTCTTTTTGCTTAGGATAGCTTCGGCTATTCTGGGTCTTTCATAGTTTCATATAAATTTTAGGATTGTGTTTTCTAGTTCTGTGAAGAATGTCATTGGTATTTTGATAAAGATTGCATTGAATCTGTAGATTGCTTTGGGTAGTATGCACATTTTAATAATATTAATTTTTCTAATCCCTGAACATGGACTATTTTTCCATTGTATTGTGTCCTCTTCAGTTTCTTTCATCAATATTTTACTGTTTTCATTGTAGAGATCTTTCACTTTTTTGGTAAGTGAATTCCTTTTATTTGTAGCTATTATAAATGGGATTATTTTCATGATTTCTTTTTCAGATTGCTGCTGGAATATAGAAATGCCACTGATTTTTTATGTTGATTTTGTATCTGCAACTTTGCTGAGTTTATTAGTTCTAACAGTTTTCTTGTAGAGTCTTTAGGTTTTTCCAAATATAAGATTATATCATCTGCAAACAAGTATAAATTGACTTCTTCCTTTTCAATTTGAATGCCCTTTATTTCTTTCTCTTCTATGATTGCTCCAGCTAGGACTTCCATTTCCATGTTGAATAACAGTGATGAAAGTGGGCATCCTTGTCTTTTTCCAGATCTTAGAGGAAAGGCTTTCAGTTTTTCCCAATTCAGCATGATACTAGCTGTGGGCTGTTGTATATGGCTTTTGTTGTGTTGACGTATGTTTCTTCTATACTCAGTTTTTTGCATTTTTTTTTATCATGAAGGGATGTTGAATTGTATCAAATGCTTCTTCAGTATTAATTGAAATGAGCATATGATTTTTGTCCTTCATTCTGTTGGTATGATGTATCACATTGATTGATTTGCATATGTTAAACCATTCTTGCATCCCTGGGATAAATCCCTCTTGGTCATGGTGCATGATCTTTTTCATGTGTTGTTGAATTAAGTTTGCTAGGATTTCAATGAGGATTTTTGTATCAATGTTCATCAGGGATATTGGCCTGTAGTTTTCTTTTTTTGATGTATCTTTGTATGGTTTTGGTATCAGGGCAATACTAGCCTCATAGAATGAGTTTGGAAGTATTCCTTCCTCCTTTTTTAAAATAGTTCAGGTAGGATTGGTATTAGTTCTTTTTAAAATTCTACCAATATGTTTGGTAGAATTCAGCAGTGAAGCCATCAGTTTCCAGGCTTTTCTTTGCCAGGAGACATTTTATCATGACTTTGATCTTGTTATTTGATATTGATCTGTTCAAGTTTTGGCTTTCTTTATGGTTCAATCTTGGTAGATTGTATGGGTGTAAGAGTTTATCCATTTCTTCCAGGTTTTCCAATTTATTGGCATATAGTTGCTCATAGTAACCTCAATGATCCACTAATTTTCTGCAGTATTTGTTATAATGTCTTCAGATTTAATTTTATTTATTTGGGTATTCTGTCTTTTTTTCTTAATCTGGCTAAAGTTTTATCAATTTTCTTTATCTTTTCAAAAAACTAACTTTTTGTTTTATTGATTTTTTTATTATTTTCTTCATTTAAATTTCATTTATTTCTGATATAATCATTATTATTTAGTTTCTTCTACTAATTTTGGAGTTTTTTGGCTCTTCCTTTTCTGGTTCTTTGAGATACATTTTAGGTTGTTTATTTGAAACTTATCTACTTGTCTGATATAGGCATTTGTAGCTATCAACTTTCTTTTAAGTACTGTTTTCATATATTCCATAGGTTTTGGTATGTTTTATTTTCATATTCATTTGTTTTAAGAAATGTTTACATTTCCTTCTTAATTTCTTCATTGATCCACTGGTCATTCAGGAGCATATTGCTTGATTTCCATGTATTTGTACAGTTTCCAAAATCCCTCTTGTTATTGATTTCTAGTTTTATGCCATTGTCATCAGATATGATACTTGATATTATTTCAGTTTTTCTGAATATTTTAAGAGTAGTTTTGTGATCAAATACATGGTCTATCCTTGAGAATGGTCCATGTGCTGAAGAGAAGAATGCATATTCTGCAGTCATTAGTTGAAATGTTCTGTAAATATCTATTAGGTCCATTTGGCCTATGGTGTAGATGAAGTCCAAGGTTTCTTTGTTGATTTTCTGACTGGATGATCTATCCAATGCTGAAAATGGGGTGTTGAAGTCTCCAGCTATTATTGTATTGAGGTCTATCTCTCTCCTTAGCTCTAATAATATTTTCTTTATATATCTGAGTGCTTCAGTATTGGGTGCACATGTATTTACAACTGCTATATTCTCTCGCTGAATTAACCCCTTGATCATTATATAATTTTTTTCTCTTTTCATTGTTTTTGTCTTGAAATCTATTTTGTCTGATGTAAGTATAGTTACTCCTTCTCTTTTTTGGTTTCTATTTGCATGGGATACATTTTTCCATCCTTTTATTTTTAGTCTGTCTCTTTATAGGTAAAGTGTATTTTTTGTAGTCTAAATATCACTGGATCTTGTTTTTATCCATTCGGCAACCCTATGTCTTTTTATTGGAGTGTTTAGTCCCATTACATTCAATGTTATTATCGATAGGTAAGGGGTTACTCCTGCCATTAGGGTTTTTGTTTTCTGGTTGTTTTGTGGTCTTCTCTTCCTTCTTCTTCTTTCCTTCCTTCCTGTGTTCCTTATAGTGAAGGTAATTTTTCTCTGGTTTATGTTTTTTTAAATTTATTGGGTTTTTTTTGGTGTATCTGTTGTTTTTCAATTTGAGGTTACCATGAGGCTTGCAAATATTATGTTATAACCTATTATTATTATTATTATTATTATTATTATTATTATTATTATTTGAGATGGAGTCTCATTCTGTTGTCCAGGCTGGAATGCAGTGGTACAACCTTAGCTCACTGCAACCTCCACCTCGTAGGTTCAAGCAATTCTGCTCCTTCAGCCTCCTTCCTAGTAGCTGGGATTACAGGCACACACCACAATGCCTGGCTAATTTTTGTATTTTTACTAGAGATGGGGTTTTACCATGTTGGCCAGGCTGGTGTCCAACTCCTGGTCTCAAGTGATCTGCCTGCTTTGGCCCCCCAAAGTCCTGGGATTACATGTGTGAGCCACTGAGGCTGGCCCATTATTTTATTTATTTATTTTTAACTTCTAGTTTCAGGGGTACATATGCAGGATGTGCAGGTTTGTTACATAAGTAAATGCGTTGAATGGGGGTTGGTTGTATAGATTATTTCATCACCCAGGTATTAAGCCTAGTATCCAATAGTTATTTTTCCTACTTCTCTCCCTCCTACCACCTTCTGCCCTCTGATAGGCCCCAGTGTGTGTTGTTTCCCTCTATATGTCCGTGTGTTCTCATAATTTAGCTCCCACTTATAAGTGAGAACATGCTGTATTTGGTCTTCTGTTCATGCATTAGTTTACTAAGAATAATGGCCCCTAGCTCCATCCATGTCCTTGCAAAAACATGATCTCATTCTTTTTTATGGCTGCATAGTATTCCGTGGTGTATATGTACCACATTTTCTTTATCCAGTCTATAATTGATGGGCATTTGGGTTGATTCCATGTTTTTGTTATTGTGAATAGTGCTGCAGTGAACATACGTGTGCATGTATGTTTATAACAATGACTTATATTCCTTTGGGTATATATCCAGTAATGAGATTATTGGGTTGAATGATAGTTCTGTCTCGAGGTTTTTGAGGAATCACCACACTGTCTTCCACGATGGTTGAACTAATTTACACTCCCACCAACAGTGTAAAAGCATTCCTTTTTCTCCACTACCTCTCCGGCATCTGTTTTTTTTTTTACTTTTTATAGTAGCCATTCTGACTGGTGTGAGATGGTATCTCATTGTGGTTTTAATTTGCATTTCTCTAATGATCAATGATGTTGAGCTTTTTTTCATATGATTGTTGGCCACATGTATGTCTTCTTTTAAGAGGTGTCTGTTCATGTTCTTTGCCCACTTTTTTATTTATTTATTTATTATTATTATACTTTAAGTTTCAGGGTACCTTTGCCCACTTTTTAATGAGTTTTTTTCTTGTAAATTTGTTTAAGTTCCTTATAGACGCTGGATATTAGACCTCATTCAGATGCACAGTTTGCAAAAATTTTCTCCCATTCTCTAGGTTGTCTGTTTACTCTGTTGATAGTTTCTTTTGCTGCATAGGAGCTCTTTAGTTTAATTAGATCCCATTTGTCAATTTTTGCTTTTGTTGCAATTGCTTTTGGCATCTTTATTATGAAATCTTTGCCCATGCTTATGTCCTAAATGGTATTGCCTAGGTTGTCTTCCAGGGTTTTTATAGTTTTGGGTTTTACATTTGAGTCTTTAATCCATCTTGAGTTAATTTTTCTTTATGGTGTAAAGATGGGGTCCAGTTTCAATCTTCTGCATATGACTAGCCAGTTATCCCAGCACAATTTATTGAATAGGGAGTCCTTTCCCCATTGCTTGTTTTTGTCAGGTTTGTTGAAGATCAGATAGTTGAAGGTGGGTGGTCATATTTCTGAGTTCTCTATTCTGTTCCATTGGTCTATGTGTCTGTTCTTATACCAGTACCATGCTGTTTTGGTGACTGTAGCCATGTAATATAGTTTGAAATCAGGTAGCGTGATGCCTCCAGCTTTGTTCTTTTTGCTTTGGATTGCCTTGGTTATTTGGGCTCTTTTTGGGTTTCATACAAATTTTAAAATAGATTTTTCTAGTTCTGTGAAGAATGTCAGTGGTAGATTAATAGGAATAGCATTGAATGTATAAATTGCTTTGGGAATATGCCCATTTTAATGATACTGATTATTCCTATGCATGAGCATGGAATAATTTGCCATTTCTTTGTGTCATCTCTGATCTCTTTGAGTAGTGGTTTGTAGTTCTCTTGGTAGATCTTTCAGTTTCCTTGTTAGCTGTATTTCTAGGCATGTCACTCTTTTTTTTTAGTAGCAATTGTGAATGGGAGTTCATTCATGATTTGGCTCTTGGCTTGATTGTTGTTGGTGTATAAGAATGCCAGCAATTTTTGCACATTGATTTTGTATTCTGAGACCTTTACTGAAGTTGTTTATTAGCTTAAGAAGCTTTCGGGCTGAGACGATGGGGTTTTCTAGATATAGGATCATGTCATCTGCAAACAGGGATAGTTAGACTTCCTCTCTTCCTATTTGAATGCCCTTTATTTCTTTCTCTCGCCTGATTGCTCTGTCAAGAACTTCCAATATTATGTTGAATAGGAGTGGTGAGAGAGGGCATCTTTGTTTTGTGGCAGTTTTCAAGGGGAATACTTCCAGCTTTTTCCCATTCAGTATGATGTTGTCTGTGGGTTTGTCATATATGGCTCTTATTATTTTGAGGTATGTTCCTTCAATACACAGTTTATTGGGAGTTTTTAACATTAAGGAATGTTAAATGTTGTTGAAAGCCTTTTCTGCATCTATTGAGGTAATCTTGTGGTTTTTGTCTTTTGTTCTGTTTATGTGATGAATCACATTTATTGATTTGCCTACATTGAACCAACCTTGCATCCTGGGGATGAAGCCTCATGGTGGATAAGCTTTTTGATGTGTTGCTGGATTTGGTTTGCCAGTATTTTGCTGAAGATTTTTGCATCAGTGTTCATCAAGGATATTACGCTGAAGTTTTCTTTTTTTGTTGTTGTGTCTGTGCCAGCTTTTGTTATCAGGATGATGCTGGCCCCATAGAATGAGTTAGGGAGGAGTCCCTCCAATTTTTTGAAATAGTTTCAGTAGTAATGGTACCAACTATTTTTTGTGTATCTGGTAGAATTAAGCTTTGAATCTGTCTGGTCCTGGGCTTTGGTTGGTTGGTAGGCTATTTATTACTGCCTCTATTTCAAAACTCGTTATTGGTCTGTTCAGAGATTCTATTTCTTCCTAGTTCTGTCTTGAGAGAGTGTATCTATCTGTCCAGGAATTTATTCATTTCTTCTAGATTTCCTAGTTTATGTGCATAGCGGTGTTTATAACATTCTCTGATGGTTGTTTGTAGTTCTGTGGGGTCAGTGGTAATATCCCTCTTATTATCTCTGATTGTGTTTATTTGAATCTTCTCCCTTTTCTTCTTTATTAGTATAGCTAGTGGTCTACTATAATATTATTAAAAAAAAACCTGCTCCTGGATTCATCAATCTTTTGAATGGTTTTTTGTCTCTCTATCTCCTTCAGTTCAGCTTTGATTTTGGTTATTTCTTGTCTTCTGCTAGCTTTGGGATTTGTTTGATCTTGGTTCTCAAGTTCTTTCAGTTGTGATGTTAGGTTGTTAACTTGAGATCTTTCTAGCTTTTTGATTGGGCATTTTAGTGCTATAAATTTCCCTCTTAATACTGCTTTAACTGTGTCCCAGAGATTGTGGTACGTTGTGTCTTTGTGCTCATTAGTTTCAAAGAACTCCCTGATTTCTGCCTTAATTTCATTATTTACCCCAAAATCATTCAGGAACAGGTTATTCAATTTTTATGTAATTGTATGGTTTTGAGTGGATTTCTTAGTCTTGAGTTCGGATTTGATTGTGCTGTGGTCCAAGAAGCTGTTTTTATGATTTCAGTGCTTTCTCATTTGCTGACGAGTATTTTGCTTGAGATTATGTGATTAATTTTAGAGTAAGTGCCATGTGGTGGTGAGAAGAATGTATATTCTATTGTTTTGCATGGAGAGTTCTGTAGATATCTATCAGGTCCATTTGATCCAGTGCTGAGTTCAGGTCCTGAATATCTTTGTTAATTTTCTGTCTTGATAATTTGTTAATATTGTCTGTGGGGTGTTAAAGTCTCCCACTATTATTGTGTGGGGGTCTAAATCTCTTTGAAGGTCTCTAAAAACTTGCTATATGAATCAGGGTGCTCCTATGTTGGGTGCATACATATTTAGGATAGTTAGCTCTTCTTGCTGAATTAAAACTTTTACCATTATGTAATGGCTTTCTTTGCCTTTTTTGATCTTTGTTGGTTTAAAGTCTGTTTTGTTGGAAACTAGGATTGCAACCCCTGCTTTTTTTTTTTTTTCCTTTTGCTTGGTAAATTTTCCTCCATCCCTTTATTTTGAGCCTATATGTGTCAAGAGACCTTGCATGTGAGATGTGTCTTTTGAAGACTACGTACCAAAACCCATTATTTTCAACTGACAACAACTCAACACTGATTACATAAAGAAACAGACAAACTAACAAACAAGCAAAGAAAAAATTAATAAAAACACTACACTTTAACTTTGTCCCCCAGCTTTTTAACTTTTTGTTTCTGTTTATATATTATTTTAATGACTCTGTCTTGAAAAGTTGTTGTAGTTAATATTTTTTAATTTCCTTTCATAGAAAGAAAATAAATAGAAAAATAAAAGTATTTCATTATACTTTCTTTCTAAGGGAGTGTTATGTCTTCTTTTCCCCACAGAAATGTATTTTATTTATTTAATTTTTTTATTTCTATAGGTTTTTGGGGGCAGGTGGTATTTGGTTACATGAGTAAGTTCTTTAGTGGTGATTTGTGAGATTTGGTGCACCCATCACCTGAGCAGTATACACTGCACTCAGTTTGTAGTCTTTTATCGCTCAACCCCCTCCCACCCTTTCCCCTGCGTCCCCACAGTCCATAGCATCATTCTTATGCCTTTGTATCTTAGCTTAGCTACCACCTGTAAGTGAGAACATATAATATTTGGTTTTCCATTCCTGAGTTACTTCACTTAGAATAATAATCTCCAGTTCCATCCAGGTTGCTGTGAATGCCATTAATTCATTCCTTTTTATGGCTAAGTAGTATTCCATGGTATATAAATACCACAATTTCTTTATCCACTCATTGACTGATAGACATTTGGGCTGTTTCCATATTTTTGCAATTGCAAATTGTGCTGCTATAAACATGCGACCAGTTTATCTTTTACCCTTTCTACTCAAAATATTGGTAGTTTACACACCACAATTAGAGCATTATAATATTCTGTGTTTTTCTGTGTATTTGCTATTACCAGTGAGTTTTGAACCTTCAGATGATTTCTTATTGCTCATTAATGTTGTGTTGTTTCAGATTGAAGAACTTCCTTTACAGTTCTGGTGTTAATGAAATCCCTCAGCTTTTGTTTGTCTAGGAAAGTCTTTATTTCTCTTTCATAATTAAGAATATTTTTGCTGGATATGCCATTCTAGGATACAAGTTTTTTCCTTCAGCACTTTAAATATGTTACACCACTCTCCCCCGGTCTTTAAGGTTTCTACTGAGAATTCTGCGTCAGATGTATTAGAGCTGTATTGTACGTAATTTGTTTTTCTTTTCTCTTATTCCTTTTAGGATATTTTCTTTAGACCTTTGGGGGTTTGATTATTAACTGTCTTGAAGTCATCTTATTTGGGTTATATCTGTTTGGTGTTCTATAACCTTCTTGTACTTGAATGTTGATATCTTTTTCTAAGTTTGGGAAGTTCTCTCTTATTATCCCTTTGAATAAACTTTCCACCCTTATCTCTTTTTCTCCTTATACTTTATGGCCAATAACTCTTAGATTTGTCCTTTTGAGGCTATTTTCCTGATCTTGTAGGCATGCTTCATTTTTAAACATTCTTTTTTCTCTTATCTCTTCTGATGGTCTGTTTTCAAATAGCCTATCTTCAAGCTAATTCTTTCTTCTGCTTGATCAATTCTGCTGTTAGGATAATTTGATACCTTATATAGTGTGTCATTTGCATTTTTCAACTCCAGAATTTCTGCTTGATTTCTTACAATTATTTCAATCTCTTTGTTAAATTTATTTGATAGGCTTCTGAATTCCTTCTCTGTGTTATCTTGAATTTCCTCAAGTTTCCTCAAAATAGCTATTTTGAATCCTCTATCTGAAAGGTCACATAACTCTTTTGTTCCAGGATTGGTCTCTGGTGCTTTATTTAGTTTGTTTGTTGAGGGCATGTTTTCATGAATGGTCCTGATGCTTGTAGATATTCACCAGTATATCTGGATATTGAAGATTTATATATTTACTGTAGTCTTTGCAGCCTGGGCTTGTTTGTACCATCCTTCTTGGGAAGGCTTTCCAGGTATTCAAAGGGATTTGGGTGTCGTGGTCTGTTTTTGGTCACTGTGACTGTATCTGCATTAGGGGGCATCCCAAGCTCAGTGATGCTGGGCTCTTTCAGACTTGTAGAGGTACAGTGGTGGTCTTGGATAAGATCTGGAAGAATTCCCTGGATTACCAGGTGGAAACCCTTCTCCTCTTCCTTTACTTTCTCCCAAACCAATGGAGTCTGTCTGTAATGAGCTGCCTGGAGTTAAAGGTGGGGTGACACGAGCACCACTGTGGCTGCCACCACTGGACTGCACTGGGTCAGATGTGAAGCCAGCATAGCACTGAGTCTCACCCAAGGCCTAGGATAACCGTGCTTGGCTACTACCTATGTTCACACAAGGCTCTAGTACTCTACAATCAGGAGATGGCAAAGTCAGCCAGGCTATGTCCTTCCCTTCAGGTTAGTGAGTTCCTCCCAGTCCCAGGCAGGTCCAGAAATGCCATCTGGGAGCCAGAGCTTGGAGTCGGAAACCTTAGGACTCTACCTCATGCTCTATTCTACTGTGTTTGAGCTAGTACCCAAGCCATAAGACAAAGTTTTTCCCACTCTTCCCTCCCCTTTCCACAAGCAGAGTAGCCTCTCCCTTGGCCACCACCACCCTAGGACCACAGCAAGTACTGCCTGCCTACCACCAACGTTCACTCAGGGCCCAAATATTCACTAGTCAGCTTGTGGTGAATGCTCCCAGGCATAGGACTCTCTCTTCAGGGAAGTGGACTCCTCTCTTACCCAAAGCCAGTCCAGAAATGCTGTGCAAGAGCCAAAGTCTTTAATCGGGGACCCCAAGAGCCCAATTGCTGCTCTATCTCACTGTGGCTGAGCTGGTACCTAAGTTGCAAAATCAAGTCCCCTCTACTTGTCCCTGTCCTTTGCTCAAGCAGAATATCTCCCAATAGCCACCATAGCTGGGAATGCACTGCATCACATCTAAAGCCACCATGTCTCTGTGTTTCACCCAAGGCCCATGGTGAGTACAGCCTGGCTACAACTGCTGATTATTTGGGGACCAAGAGATTTTTATTCAGAAGGTAATGGATCCTGCTTCCCTTCAAGGCAGTAGGCTTCCTTTTGGCCCAGGGTTTGTCTAGAAATGTCGTCTCGGAGCTACGGCCTGGAATGGGGACCTCAGGACTCTGCCTGGTGCCCTATTCTATTGTGGCTGAGATGGTATCCAAGTTGCAAGACAAAGTTATATTTATGCTTTCCTCTCCTCTCCTCAAGTGGGAGGGAGGAGTGTCTCCTGGAGCCGTGTGCTGCACTGCTTAGGGTATGGGGCACGCATTCCTTGGTGGTGCATGCACCTGAGGGGTGGTGCAGGCATTCCCTTGGTGACTTTGGCTGGTGTCTCACTAGGTTGTATACCCTCATAGCCCACTGGCTATGAGTCCAGCAGAGCACCAGTACTTGCCCAGGAATTGCAGTATTTGTGGCTTAGAGTGCCTTTCAAATTTATTTAGGACCCCAGAGCCCTTCAGCCTGCAGTGGCAAAGATTGCCAGAACTCAGGTTTCTACTACTGATGTGAGTGATTCCCTCTGGCTAGGACTGGTTTAAATTCTTCCTCCATGGGCGCAGGATGAGTTATGCCCAGTATTGCTTTCTGCTGTGATGGGGCAGCACTGAGTTCCAGTGCAAGGTCCCATAATCACTGTCTCTTCCCCAAGCACACAGATTCTGTATCTGCACCACACAGCCACTACCAAGCGGATGAGGGAGGAGTAGTATCAACAATTCAAGACTGTCTTTCCTACCCTCTTCAGTGTCTCTCTCAGTGATAACGATGTTAAAACCAAGTACTGTGGTCATTCACCTGATGTTTGGTTCTTATGAAAGTGCTTTTTGTGTGTGTGTGGAGAGTTGTTTAATTTGGTGTTCTTATGGGTAGGATAATTAGAGGATGATTAGTGGAGGCTTCTATTTGGCCATCTTGCTCTATTTCCCTCAAAAGAAGTTTGTTTCACATAAGGAAACTTAACGGGTGAAAGACCTCTTTTGGTGGTGGTAATGAGATGCCACTCAGGGCAACTGTGCTAGCTGCACCTCAATTTATTCTTCATGGATTAAGTTCCAAAGAATTACATTGTTCTATAGCATGCAATAGACATACTATTTATATTTAACAGCATTTATTTATTTATTCTTTTATTAAACACTTTTTTTAGATATCAACTTTGTATCAGATGATATCCACAGCTAGCCCATCCAAGGCTATTTAATTTTTGTCTATCATAACAATGACATGAAACATTCCCCTAACAACACCTGCAACTCTGTCACTTCAGGAAATTGAATTTCCAATGTGATGTTTTGGGGATATAGCAACCACACCACCACCTTATGAAAGTCATGGGGGTTTCTTTTTTATTTTCACTCTGCAAATGGTATGCAAGCATAACTGGGTCTTCTCTCAGCTCCAAGTAATTCAGCACAAGAATATCACTTCCTTCTTATCAATGTACCTCACTCCTACAAAATCCCTCTTGGACTGGCTTACAAGTAAAATAAAATGAAAAATGGAGATCGTGGTTAGTTGTTGAATGTGTGTGTGGTAGTGGGTAGTAGGGGGTAAGGTAATAAGAGATAAAGTTGGGGCCACTTGGAGAAAGAAGAGGAAGAGTGAGAAGGAGATACAACTAGACTAAGTGGCTGCTAAGAAAGGTCAGGTGTTCATATGATAGGACTGACATCAGTGCAATGTATGTACTTTCCCTGGGGAAGCAGATTGACTTCCCAAATTACCATGAAGCTCAGAGTCAAACAACCTCAATTGAAACCTGAGTTCCATCCTTTGTTAGCTGTGAGACCTGGGAAAGTTACTTAACCTCCTTAAAGTTCAGTTTCTTCAACTGTAAAATGGGGGTCATCATCATCATCATCATGTGTGAGGAATTTTTGTGAGAAATAAAATTATGCATGTAAATAACAGTCTAATGCTTGGCACCTAGATGCCTAAACATCCTCATTAAATGATAGCTAGTATTTATACTTTTATTATGAATAAGTTGCTAATTGTCTGTTTTGAAAGTTAACAATAGAAATTGGGGTTAGAAAGGCTCTTCTGACAACTAAATTGAGGATTAAAAGTGAAAAAAAAAAAAAGCTAAAAATGGCAGAACCTTCTTGAGGACACTGAAGATTTCAGGCCTTAGTTGATATCTACAGACATTAAGAAGTAAAAGGAGGCTGGGCGCGGTGGCTCACGCCTGTAATCCCAGCACTTTGGGAGGCCGAGGCGGGTGGATCATGAGGTCAGGAGTTCAAGACCAGCCTGGCCAAGATGGTGAAACCCCATCTCTACTAAAAATACAAAAATTAGCTCGGCGTGGTGGTGGGTGCCTGTAGTCCCAGCTACTCAGGAGGCTGAGGCAGAGAATTGTTTGAAGCTGGGAGGTGGCGGTTGCAGTGAGACGAGACTGCGCCACTGCACTCCAGCCTGGGTGACACAGCGAGACTCCACCTCAACACACACACACACACAAAAAGGAGTTTCTCAAAATAGGTCAATTTATCATCATCTTAGGAGATAAGAGGGCATAGCTGAAGATGACTCTTACCTCAGTTCGGTGCACCAGCTGCTGAGTTGCATCATCATTCATACGAAAAATTTCCAGAAATGGGTCAGATTTACTGAAGAAATCCTAAAATAGATAAACGTCAATGAATTGTTTTTCCTCCTGCATTTGATCTAGTCCTGATCAATCAGGAATATTTAATCAACAGGAAAACCCTCTTGATTTCCTATTTTTTATATGTGGAAGGGAGGCCATGCTTGTCCTCTCTTCCTGCCCAGTTCTACTCAAACTCTCTTCTCTTTACCTGTGATCATGAGCCCCACCCTTTCTTCCTTTGATCCTCATCCCTGAGATCCACCCTTGGCTAGAATGGACTGCATCTGAAAGCTAAGTTCTTTGTAAAGTCAGTACTTGGTTAGTTGAAATTCAAAGTATTCTTCAAAGATCAGTTCAAATTCCAGTTCTTTGAAAATCACTGTATCTGTTGTCTTAAACAGGTTCATTATAGTTATTTTAATGCCTATGTAATGACTACAATGTCTGGATCACCTATAGGTCTATTTTTATTATCTCTTTCTTAGTTCCACCTCTTGGTATGCTTGTTAATTTTTTATTAAATAGTAGACAATGTGTAATGAAGATTATGAAGGTTTTTACATGAGTCTTTAGCTTCTAGCAAGTGGTTATAAGGGGAGAAGTCTCCTGAATCCAATTAGGATTAAGCTATTTAGAGGATGAATTTCTTCAAATGTCTTTAAAGCCCCTATCCATTTCTGATTTCCTTTACTCCTTGGGTATAGTCCTAAAAGGACCCTAACTGAAAACCTGAGTGTTCACGAGGGGTGTTCTTCCTTGACAAGTCTTCAATGCCAATTTTTATTTGTGAGAACCTCAAATGCTGTGTTTATTTTCATAATTTCTTAGCTCTAGGTTTTTGTTCAGTTTCTCTCTATGCTGCTTTTGCTAATTAGCAAACGCCTTGAGATGATAAGCCACTCATACTGTTGGACTACTTGTCTTCTCTGATGCACCTATGAGTCTTTATCCTTTGCTCTCTCAATAGCCCTGAACTTCAGTTTTTCTCCCCAGCCCCATGAGACCACCAAAAGCTCTGCTCAGTTTCTGTTTCTTAGTAGCTATTTTTTTAAACTAGGCTTCCCAGACTTTCTATCCACACTATTTTACGAATCAGCCTTGAGGAATTCCCTTGAGTGGAAAATCTGCACAGAATGTCTTAAGCACCTCCATGGGTTTCTCTTCTGTCCAGTTTCTTGGCCCCTCAAATCTACACTGCCTCAGGACTCTCAAATACATGTCTCTTGTGTCTTTTCTAGTGTTTATATTTGTTTTTAGTGAGAGAGTGATGTAAAATAACTAAGTGCTTCATTGTTGGGAATGGAACCTATCTCCATCCCTTTTAAAAACTTGATTTTTACCCCCAGTAGATTATAAATTCTCAAAGAGGAGAAACTTTATTTTCCTTTATATTTCTGCTATTTCCTCAGCATTTTCCATAGTGTCTAGATTTTAATAGTACATAGTGTTTATTGAATGAATGAATAAATACATAAATAAGTGAATGGATACCTGGTATAGGATAGGAGGCTATCTGAGCAAAAACCTTATTCATCACCATCACATTTTTATTACGAATTTCACCAAGTAATTTTTTTCCAGAAATCTAGACTTTAGCAAAGTAGAATTAAGCCCATATTTGCCTTAAAAGTCATTTATTATTCCTAAATGTTAAGCAAGCCAGAGTCAAACTCGTTATTTTCCTTTGTTTGGTCTCTACTTCTAAATTTTGCCTTACTATCAATGTCTTTACCAGCCATCCTAGTCTTCAGCTCAGCAAAATATTTGTAGGACATATACTGATCACAGAGTTTTTGTGCTTGATGTTAAGATATAAGGACAGATAGAACCTGATCTCAGTCTTCCAAAGTACCATCTAGGTTGCTGGTAAGAAAAGTATACAAATAAATATAACCTAGGGCTAGGTATAAATGAGTGAATGAGTGAATGAATGAATGAAGGTATAAGGAGTATTGAGGGAAGAGAGGGGAGCTGATGAATTTTTCACAGACATAGAGGGGGATACCCCAAGTAATTTAATAAGACTATAGCCTAGGGAAGCATAGGGGAGGAATTGGAGACAATGCTGGCAAAGTTGGCCCCATGATGTGAAGGGCCTTAAATGCTCATCTGAAGTCTTTGCACTGGCCTGGAGAGGCAGGGGGAATCATTGAAGGATTTTGAGCAGAAAAGTAATATAGTTGGCTCTGCAGTGAAGAATGCCAGTCTAGAAACTTTGTAGTATATGTTAGAAGGAGGAGATGAGAGGTGGGAATAACTATCTTCCGCTTTGCTTTCCTTCCCATGCAACCAGGAACCAAACAAGATGCTCCACAACACCCAGAGTCTGGAACATCCGCTACTACTCTATTTCTGAAGGTGCCTTCAGAAGATTACCACAGCCTTCATCTTGTCAAGACCCCAAAATGGTGGCTTTCATCATAATCTTGCCCTTCAAACATCGTCTCTCCCCCAAAATGGCCCATTTCTCTCTCAGATGCACTTCTAGCTGATTCCCACCTCTATGCATTTACTCATTTGCCCCTTAGGCCAGTTTCTGTTTCTACATGCATCTTAAAAAATTAAAACCTCCTTCTCTTCTCCCTTTCCCTATGGATGTGGGCTACAGTAGCTTGTTCCTACGTGCCCTTGGGCTCCTCCTGTAACTTCACGCTTTGCCTCTTTAAATAGATTGTTGGTCCCTCAGGGGATGTTTTTATGATTCATACTTAAAAACTGCTAACCACAATGTAAGAACTTTCTCATTTTTTCCCTCTTTACTGTTAATTTAAAACTTTTGTTACCATCACTTTTATTTAAAAATGAAAAATATAGAAAACAGATGACAAAAATAAAAAGAAGGAAAAAAGAACCCATAACTGAATTCAAAATTCCATAACCATCAATAGAATTTTGATAAATCTTTTTCTAGACTCTACATATACTTTTCTGTCTTTCTTTTTAAAAATTTTGTAATCATGATCTATGTACAATTTAGTACCCTATTTCTTTTGCTTGTTGTATACATATTTACATGTTGTATATTACAATGCTTTTTCTATTTTATTTCACATTCTTTTTAAATACCATGAATGAATTAGGCAAGAAGTTATTGTCAGGAGGGCATACTAAAATGTCAATGAAAGAAAGGTCAAGAATGGCCTCTGTCTTCAGGTAGCTGAAAATCTATACGCAGCATACTGGCTTTAGCACTGCTTTCAAATCTCAACTCTACCACATATAATCTGAATAACTGTGGACAAAATATTTAATTTCTCCAAGGCTTAGTTTGCCATTCATAATGGAAGGAGTATCAACCTTTGCCTCATAGTGACAAAGAAGAATTAGAGGACCTGGTGAATGGGAAGTGTTGAGTCCATTGCCTGGTACACGGTGAAGACTGAAAAAATGTTAGCTGCAAAAATCCTCAACAAAATACTAGCAACCCAAATCCAGTGGCACAACAAAATTTAATCTATTACAATCAAGTACACTTTATTCCTGGGAAGCAAGGTTGGTTCAACGTACACATATCAAAAACCATATGATCATCTCAATAGACGTAGGAAAAAAGGTTTTGATAAGATCCAACATCCCTTCATGATAAAAACCCTCAACAAACTAGGCAGTGAAGGAACATACGTGAAAATAATAAGCCATCTTATGCTTATGCCATCTATGACAAACCCACAGCCAACATCATACTGAATGGGCAAAAGCTGGAAGCATTCTGCTTAAGAGCAGGAATAAGACAAGCATGTCAACTCTCACCATTCCTGTTCAATATAGTACTAAAAGTCCTCGCCAGAGCACTCAAGCAAGAGAAAGAAATAAAAGGCATCCAAATAGGAAAAGAAGTCAAATTGTCTCTCTTTGCCGTTGATATAATTCTATACCTAGAAAACCCTAAAGACTATGGTGAAAGACTCCTAGAACTGATCTTCAGCAAAGTTTCCGAATACAAAGTCAATGTGCAAAAATCAGTAGCATTTCTATACAAAGTGAGAGCTCCATCAAGAACGACCCCATTTACAACAGCTAGAAAAAATGAAATGCCTAGGAATACATCTAACCAAAGAGGTAAAAGATCTCTACAAGGAAAACTACAAAACACTGGTGAAAGAAATCATAGATGACACAAACAAATGGAAAAGCATTCCATGCTCATGGATCGGAAGAATCAATATTGCTAAAATGGCCATACTGCCAAAAGCAATCTACAGATTCAATGCTACTTACATCAAACTATAAACATAGTTTTCACAGAATTAGAAAAAGCTATTGTAAAATTCATATGGAACAAAAAAGAGCCTGAATTGCCAAAGTAATCCTAAGCAAAAAGAACAAAGCCAGAGGCATCACATTACCCAACTTCAAACTATACTATAAGGCTACAATAACCAAAGAAGCATGGTACTGGGACAAAAACAGACACATAAGACCAATGGAACAGGATAGAGAATCCAGAAATAAAGCCACATACCTACAGCCATCTCTTCTTTGACAAAGTTGACAAAAATAAGAAATGAAGAAATGTCTCCCTATTCAATAAACAATGCTGGGATAACTGGCTAGCAATATGCAGAAGACTGAAACTTGACCCTTACATTTCACCATATACAAAAATTAATTCAAGATTGAATAAAACTTTAAATGTAAGACCTCAAATTATAGAAATCCTAGAAGAGAACATATGAAATATCATTCTGGATGTTGGCCTTGGCAAAGAATTTATGTCGAAGTCCTCAAAAGCAACAAAAACAAATTGTAACAAAGAATATTGACAAGTGAGACCTAATTAAACTAAAGAGCTTCTGCACAGTTAAAAAAAAAACTATTAACAGACTAAACAAGTGGCTGATAGAGTGGGAGAAAATATTATCAAACTATTTGTCTGGCAAAGATCTAATACTCAGAATTTATAAGGAACTTAAACAATTCAATAAGCAAAAATAAATAAATAAACCCGTTAAAAATTGGGCAAAGGACATGAGCAGACACTTCTCAAAAGACGACCCGCAAGTGGTCAACATACATATGAAAAAATGCCCAATGTCACTGATTGTGAGAGAAATGCAAATCAAAACCACAATGAG
Source organism: Homo sapiens (assembly GCF_000001405.40). Classification (NCBI taxonomy): domain Eukaryota; kingdom Metazoa; phylum Chordata; class Mammalia; order Primates; family Hominidae; genus Homo; species Homo sapiens. Next base: position 131,691,004 of record NC_000003.12, read on the forward strand.
ATACCATCTCGCACCAGTCAGAATACCTATTACTAAAACGTCAAAAAATAACAGATGTTGGTGAGGCTGTGGGGAAAAGGAAACACTTATATACTGTTTGTGGGAATGTAAATTAGTTCAGCCACTGTGGAAAGCAGTTTGGAGATTTCTTAAAGAGCTTAAAACAGAACTACCGTTCAACCCAGCCATCCTATTACTGGTATATACCCAAAGGAAAATAAATCATTTTGCCAAAAAGACACATGCACTTGTATGTTCATCAAAGCAGTATTCACAATAGCAAGGGCATATAATCAGTCTAGGTGCCAATCAACATTGAATAGGATAAAGAAAATTTGGCACTTATATACCATAGAATACTACACAGCCATAAAAAAATAATGTTTTCTGTAACACCCTGGTTGCAGCTGAAGGCCATGATCCTAAGGGACTTAGCACGGCAATGGAAAATCAAATACCACATGTTCTCACTTCTGAGAGCTAAACATTGGGTACACATGGACATAAAGATGGGAACAGTGGACGATGGTGACTACCAGAGCAGTGAGAGAGGGAGGGGAGCAAGGGCTGAAAAACTACCTATTGGGTCCTATGCTTACTACATGGGTAATGAGATCAATTGTACTCCAAACCTCAGTGTCATGCAATATACTCATGTAACAAACCTGCACATGTAATCTCTGCATCTAAAATAAAAGTTGAAATATTAAAAAAAAAGTGGGCTACTATGATGATTATCAATAGAAGAAAAAATTCATGAAGGCATTTTGTAAAAAACTGTACAAATATCAGGGGTGATTACTATTAAGAAGGCATCTGATTCATGGAAATGAAATAATTCATAAGCACCTCAAAATCTCAAGTGTACGCTCAGAAATTCATAGCTTCAAAACAACAACTCTGGGTCTAATTGTGTGGTCACTTTAATTTGGAATTTTCAGCTTTTTAAAACTTGATTATTAGCACTAAGATGGCCATTGGGACAGTTCAGTTCAAAAAAGATGAATGAATAGGGCATTTTACTGAAGTGTTGCTGTGGTAAAATTCTTTAATAACACAGAGACCATATTATTCTGCTTTTTTAGTTCAATATAAAAGAAATTTAGCTAAGTAAGAGGGTGATAAGCAATTAGGAAGCAGTTCATACCCATGACGGTGATCTTGAAAATGGAATATTGGACCTAGAAGAAATTATCTGAAAGATGTAGGCATATCCAGTCTGTACAGCTTATTAATTTTGTGACTCTGGGAAATGTCTGATCTGAGTATGCTTTATCTATAAAATGGAAATAAAGATACTAACTTCTGGGAATATGCTTATGAGCTTTGGGGATAATGTAGGTTAGACACCTGATACTTGGCACATAATAGATGCTCAATAATTATAATTTTCTATCATTAATGCAGACCAGATTACAGTTTCAAGCAGGCATACTTAAACATAGTAAAATCACATCACAGCAGGTAGAGATTTTACATTGTTTTAGAGTAGGGGTCAGCAAACTATGGCACATGAGCCAAATCTGGCTTACTGTTTGTTTTTGTGAATAAAGTTTTATTGGAACACTGCCACATTCATTCATTTTTGTATTGTCTATGGCTGTTTTCATGCTTCAAAGGCAGAGCTGAGCAGTGGGGACAGAGATCAGGTGTCCTGCAAAACCTAAAATATTTATCAACTAGCCCTTTATTAAAAAGTTTGCCAACCTCTACTTTAGAGACAGATTTGTTTACTTATATTGCACCCCATCAAACTAGCATCATGGGAACACTGAAAATGCAGTCTATAATGATTACTATTACATATGTGGAGACCACCAGTGTCGGAATTAGTTCCAATGCACCAATATGAATACTTTCTCAAGAATGGGAAAAGAAAGAATCCTTTGTCAGCTTGAATGTTCCAAAGTGATTATTACATTTCTGTCTCTACTTACTTGTTAGATTAATTGCCGACTAGTTGCTAATGTAACAAATGTGCTTTACAAGTTAGAAAGTCCCTTTCTCTACTAAGTGAATTGCATTAACATTAGATAAATAAGTTATTTATCACAAACCTAAGCTATTTTATGTACTCACTCTCATTGAAGAGTGTGGAGATGATTGCTAGTCTGTTGAAAGACAAATTAAAAATGACTGTTTCTGTCAAAAAGAATGGTGCATTTCTCTGTCACTGTGGTTTGCAAAAGTACTTAGTGCTTTCCCATATACCCTATAACAGGGGTTCTCAAACTTTTGGTCTTAAGACCCCTTTACATTCTTAAAAGTTATTGGGGATACCAAAGAGCTTTTGTTTTGTTGTATGTATTAATATTTACCATATTATAAAACTGTTAAATTGTTAAAATATTGGTTACATTGTTTAAAAATAATAAAATAAACCTACTACATCATAACAAAAATAGTATTTTAATGGAAAAATTATTATAATTATATTTTCCAAACTTAAAAAATGGTGAGAATGGTATTAGTTTACATTTTTGCAAACCAATTTAATGATTAGCTTAATAGAATGCAGCAGAATCCTTATATTTGTGCTGTATTCAATCTGTTGTGATATTAGGCATCATGCAGCCTCTGGAAAACTCCACTTTACATGTGTGAGAGAATGAGAGTGAATAAAGAAAATTATGTCTTGGCATTATTATGAAAATAGTATTGACTTCATGGGTTCCCCTGCAAAGGTATTGGGACCATGCATCACACTTGGAGGACTGCTGCCTGACCTCCCCTCTTACCTCCCCTCTTACCTCCCCTCTTCCTGGCTTCCTACTTCCCTGAAATACATGAAAACATTTCCAAGTCTTCCATATTCTGAGACCAAACCACCTTCTATTCATTAACTCTCTGCTCCAAAAGACTTAGATTTTGTCAGGCAATCTGTTTGAGTCCCTCTCTTGCACTGATTTTTTTGTGAGTGTGTGCCTGTGTGGCTTTCAGTAAGTCATGCCACATCTCTAAACTTTAAAATTTTCATCTATAAAATAAGGCAGTTGGATTAGACAGTGGCTTTCTACCTAAAGTATGTAGACTCCTGGGGGCTACCAGAGTTACTGCCAAGGGACTGGAGATCCAGGCAGGCATCCTACAACCACCGTCTGAATTGGATATAGCATATTTTTCCTACATATTCATACTTCAATTTTTAAGTGTATGTAGAAACTAGTGACTTTCATGATATTCATTAACATAATAAAAAATTAGGAGCATTGTTTATTTTATAGTGACTTTTAGTCATACAATAACTAGATACAGTAAGTTTTAACTGCAAACATGTAGATAGTTATAAAATTGTTTAATGCTAAAAGCTAGAAAAGGGTCCTCCTTGAGAGCATCTGGGAACTATTTTTCCAGCTGTGACATGAAATAATTATATTATTTTATTCTATTTCTATCACAAAAATATTGTGGCAGTTTGCATTTTGTAAACATGACCACCACAAGTTCATAGTCCACATGCTTTTTCTCCAGTATGATTTTGCCACTGCCCTAACACGATGTGGAGTCCTAGAATCTGGGCTGGCCTTATGACTTACTTGCAACTAAAAGAATGCAGCAGCAGTGATGATGCATGACTTCCAAAGCCAGGAAGGGGTGAGAAAAGGCCACCGAGCATCTCCCTTGTTCTCTTGAAATGCTTTCTCTGGGAGAAGCCAGATACTCTAAAGGAAGTGTGACTACCCCAGGACCACCAAGTAGGCACTCTGGTAGACTGTTCCAGCTAAGCCCAGCCATTCAGCCATCTCATGTGCGAGGCATGTGCGTAGAGCTAGTGTAGAACCTCCAGACAAGCTCATCCACAAGCTGAGTACCACTGAGTGATTTGCATCAACATCATAGACAGCAGAACTGCCCAACTGAACCCTGATTGAATTTCTGACCCTCACAATCATTAGCTATAACGGAATAGTTCTTCATTTAGGTTGCTAGATTTGATGGTTTACCACACAGAATAGATTGTTTACCATGCAGCAATAGAAAACCAGAGCAGTAGTGTTGTGTCTTTGGGTAAATCATCATACCTTGCTGAGCCCTCATTTCCTGAAGAGGTTGTGTGAAATGATCTTTATGTTATCATTTTGCTCCTCCATTCTACAACTTTGCCCTCTTTCCATCTGAGACCATTTAACTTCCAGTCCAAACTGGAGCAAAGGCCTCTGATTTGTTCTCTGAATTACTAAGGATCTGGACAAGACATAGTCACATTATGAAGGAACTGGGGTTTCCAGCACTGGGGCATTCAGGCTCAGCAATGACCAGGGTCCTGGACAATCAGTACAGCCAATGGTGGGAATAGCCATTTAGAACCACTGTAAGTGCTGCAGGGGGCTCTTTCAATTCTATGAGCAAGTGTTCATTTGACTAAAGGGAAACTGCTCAAACACTTCAAAGCCAACTGGTCCAACAAACCTCCAAGCCCGCCCCCTTTTACTATAACATAAATCAGTTAGATGACAAACTAGAGGTACTTAAGAGCATACTAAGTGTAGAGAAACCATTATAAGCCATTAAGCAAGTAGCTTAAAACTGCTATCCACTGACCCAGTGGCTTATAATAGCACCAGGGAAGATACTATAAAGAAGTTTTGTGAGTTTTTCTGAAATTTGGGGAGATGATGAAGGAGAAGGAGCATAACAGTTGTGAAAAGGTGAAGTTAAAAGCTTGCTCCCAACTGACATCTATGCACACTGCAGTTCCCAGCACCTAGTTCATGCTCATGTTAAGAATGGAGCAGTCTGTGATGGTTTCATATAATCTATTCAAGACACTTTTAAAATCCAAATATAATTAGTTTATAAGGATAAAGTATTTCCTGATGTCCCCAGGTAGAATAAGTTGGCCTTACCAGGACACACTATTATATATCACTTATCACATTCTATTGTGGATATATTATTACTATATCATTTGTTTTTTAGATGTATGTTTTACTTCAATGATGAATTCCAGGTTGCAGATGTGAGAGTGGAATGTCCATTTTTGATATGCCTTTTTTCCAGCACCTCATGCATAACAAGCACCCAACAAAGGTTTGGAAAATGAATGATGAATGAATGAACAAATTAACAAATAAAAGAGTGAACCAGTGAATGCATAAGTGGGCTGACTATTAATACGTGATAAATAGGAGTTGTACAAATGAATAAATGTGATACCACATAAAAAGCTCTTAAACCTGTACTTGGCAAACATAGGTGCTCAATAAATGTCATTTTTCTTCCCTTTCATATCTTCTCCTCTCCCTTAGAATGTCCCTAGAAATGGGGTTAAATCATATTTACCTGTGCACATCTCACCGGTGGCATTTGGAAACAGTCTTGGTGTCATAGAATTGTCTTGTTTTAATTACAGTCCCTTCCCTTTCTCATTAATTGATCTTTAATGTGGGGGAAAGTTTACTTTGTAGACCTCTCTGAATTTTTGGATCTGTTTGATAATGTGGGTGGAAAGGGAAAAATAGTTGCAGGGGGAAATCTGATTAAACTGTGTGCTAGCTTTGTTACTTCCTTCAATAAGGTTAATGCCAAACGCTTTACCTTGTCATCCAATTTCCGTGCATTGAATGCAAGCTCAACATAGTCGTCATTGCCAGATAATTCTTCAGCAATCACCTAAAGGAAAAAGCACACATCAGCTGCAATAGAGGGTGAACTCCTTAGCTCCAGAACCCATGAGCAAATTTAGTTCCTGTTTGGTTCAAAACTCAACAAAGACAAATGTTGGGCAAAGAGTTTTTCCACAACCCTAGTGACTACAGCACAGCAATTCTAGGTATTCAAGGGAACTCCCTGGAATAGACAATGGTAAATAACTAGACACCATTTATACTGAGCAAGAGAACATAAGAGATGGGACCCAAGCTGAAGGAAAAAATAGAAGAGCAGTTTGGAAGAGCTTCTTTCTTTAAAGGTCACATGGCATTGGATAGTATTTCTATAATTAACTACAATGTCTCCCTTTGGTAAATTACAGAGAAGGAAAAACAGCAATATTTCTTTTTGAGTGAGACCAACAAGAAATGTTGGAATAAACTAGTTTTTATGTCAAATTTTTCTAATTCCTATTTTTCAAAAGACTGTCCCTGGGTTTTCTGAGATGAAGATATGGGTATACGTAAGGATTTAAGCCCTAACACCCAAGTACAGACCATTCCTGACAAAGATTTTGGTATAAGTGAAGAAATTACTGTCCAAAAGACTTTCTCATAATAGGTCATTTTCCAATACTTAATAGTTAGTGACTCTCAACAAAGCCTTGGAGCAGAAATTGGTGGAGAAAGTCAGGAGAAAAATAATGACAACAAAAGCAACAAAAATCTAGAAGCCAGTCAAGTTGCAGATAAGTTAAAACCTTTATAAATAATGTTAGGATTTACCATGTATTCTGTGGCCACAGCACATGGATACGCTTATCAAATTGCTTATATCAAGATACTGATAATTCAGTTTTACCTCTTTTCTATCTGAGCTCAACAATTCCATTATGAGTTGGGTCCATATACTTTCAATAGTCACTGGTAATATTCCAAATATTTTGGAAAATTTAAATTATTTACACTTAATCTTAAAGCTAAGATGGCTACCTTAAGACAGATAGACCCAAAAATGTGTGAACAACTGAGAGTAGAGATTGTGAGTCCAGGTATATAGGAAAAACTCTAGAACTGGTTGATAACCCAAGAACTATCATATTTGTATTTTTCATTTGGTTCTCTTTTGTCCCTTACCACCTTAATGCCTCTTATACTTCATTTGATTACTGACCCTTAAGTATTTTGTGATCACAGACACCTTTGGAAAACTGATGAAAGTTATGATTTTCACCATCTGCAGAGACCTAGAAAATTTCATGCACCTTTTCAAGTGTTTTCTAGAAGCTATTAAAGCCAATGTTTTGATCTAAAGACTCAAAGTTGAGGAGCATTTAAATACTTAAAATTAAATGGGGCCAGGGGCAGTGGCTCATGCCTGTAATCCCAGCACTTTGGGAGGTGAGGCGGGCGGATCACGAGGTCAGGAGATCGAGACCATCCTGGCTAACATGGCGAAACCCCATCTGTACTAAAAAAATACAAAAAAAATTAGACAGGTGTGGTGGTGGGCGCCTGTAGTCCCAGCTACTCGGGAGGCTGAGGCAGGAGAATAGCGTGAACCCGGGAGGTGGAACTTGTAGTGAGATGAGATCGTGCCACTGTGCTCCAGCCTGGGAGAGGGGCAAGGCTCTGTCTCAAAAAAAAAAAAAAAAAAAAGAAAGAAAAGAAAAAGATCAAACTTTTCTTGGATATGTGGAGAAAGAAAATCTCAGGATATCTCAGAGAAAATATGGCAAGATGAGATTTTGTTCTTTTGAGAAAGAACCATAGCAAATTCATACCTGGATCTACTGGTTTTGTGGGCTTTGGGAGTGAACCCGTGGGTCCATAGCTTTTCAGAGCACCATCAGTGTCTTCAAAGAACACTTTGATTCATGACTGAAGATGGCAGTCAAGAAAAAGCTTTAACATGACAGTGTCATTTAAAATATTCAAGCAACAAACTCAGGTAAGTTCTTGTGAGAATGGCCACAACTTTCACTGACAGCTCTTTTGAATTTTTCCTGTGCTTAAAAAAAAAAAAAAAAATCAGGGCAGGGTGCAGTGGCTCACACCTGTAATCCCAGCACTTTGGGAAGCCGAGGGGGGCGGATCACAAGGTAAGGAGTTGGAGACCAACCTGGCCAACATAGTGAAACTCCATCTCTACTAAAAATACAAAAATTAGCTGGGTGTGGTGGTGGGCACCTGTAATCCCAGCTACTTGGGAGGCTGAGGCAGGAGAATCATTTGAACCCAGGAGGTGGAGGTTGTAGTGTGCCGATATCGTGCCATTGCACTCCAGTCTGGGTGACAGGCTGAGACACTGTCTCAAAAAAAAAAAAAAAAAAAAAAAATTGGTTTCTCTCTAGTTAAAAAGGAATGTTCAAAATAACTCAAGAGGTTCGTTTTCTGGCAATTTGCCTCTCTAGCAATTCAGAATTTCCTTGTAGTTTTTTCTACCTTGTTTCTTTTGCTTGTCTTTTTGTTTGTTTCTTTTTTCACTCCATACATCCAAATGGTTGGACAACATCCTCTACCTTTTTCAAGGTCTCTTAATAGAAGATGTCGAACTTTCAAATACCAGGCATTCCATTCAAAAATGTAAGCTCTTATTTAGAAATACTTCTAGCATTACCCAATAGAACATTCTGCAATTATAGAAATGTTTTATAATCTACACTGTCCCATATGGTAGCTGCTAACCACTTGTAACTATTGAGCACTGGATATGTGGCCAGTGTGATTAAGGAACTGAATATTTACTTTAATTTTAAATAGTTTTATTAAAATTTAAATAATCACATGTGGCTAGTGGCTACTGAATCACACAGTAAACCTCCAAACTATTATATCAAAGAGGAGTGTTAAATGCTGAGCTCTTTGTTTGTCAGGAAACAAACCAAACCTTGAAGTAAATGCTATCAAAGCAAAATTTTAATTCTCAAAATAAATGAGAGACGAGGACACGTAGCTTTGAAGCTTTGATTGTGTGAAAATGCTAGACAATTCCGTAATCTCACTGTGCTCAACAACTACATCTTTCTCCTCCACTAAAATCTATCTTGCAATTGCAGAAGTGCTTACTAGAATTAAATAACCTTACTTTCAAATGCTTTTCCTTTTTTATTTTTCCTAGAGTTAGAAGGATCAAAATTGTATTGTCAGAAAAGAGAAAGAAAGAAAAATAAGGGAGTGATTTCAATAGTTCAGTAGTTGTGGCACCAACTCCCAATATCAGAAAGTCTGCTTCCCAAGTGTCTGGTTTGGGCTGGCCAGTCCGCCCAGGCTCTCCACTCAGGCAGACAGCTGCTTAGGGAGTGCCTGCTTACCGTGATGGAAGATTTCCCTGCTGTGTTCCCATGCTTCAGCAAGGATTTGGACAGCTTTCTCTGGGAAACAATCTGCAAAAAAGGAAACAAAAGGTAACAAAAGGTAGAGATACTAGTCATTTAACTGTAGATCTATTTTTTAAACCTTTTTTTTTTTTTTTTTTTTTTTACAAAACTCTGCATTCACGTTTGTGTCAATTTATATTTCAGGGTTTGTCAATGAGCCTCTCCTAATATAGGTTATTCCCTTTTCTCTTTCTTCTTATGGTGTGTGATATGAGAGAGTTAGTGAGTGAAGAATTACAGATAATGCAGTCAATTGGGAGGTGGCTTAATTGTTGATGAAGGATGTATATTAAAATTAGACAGACAACTTTAAACATGTATGTTAAGACAAAGTAGATAAAGTTTCAAAATGATCTCAAATATATCATTAAGCCTCCAGGCAAAGTGGGGGATGGGGTGCAGGGAGGGAAAGGAACTAAAGGGCTAAATATAACTTCTAGAGTTCTATTTTTAATATATTCATTAGGAAGTCATAAAGTAAGTCATCAGAAAATTGATGCTCAGACAAGTCAATAGAAGTAATTGCGGTTCTCTTCATGATTCAATGCCAATGCACCTGCGCAATGACAACTAAAATCATCATCATACTGAAAGCTATTCCTAGCAGAACTTGTCCCATTCTCTTTTTCCTCTTTCTTCCTTTTTTGAAAGAGAAGTTTGACAAGGCATTGAAGCCATGATTGGTTGGCAACCCATGATTCTCAAAGGAGAAAAGGGCTAAAAGGTCTAGAACTAGAAATACCATTTGACCCAGCCATCCCATTACTGGGTACATACCCAAAGGATTATAAATCATGCTGCTATAAAGACACATGCACATGTATGTTTATTGTGGCACTATTCACAATAGCAAAGACTTGGAACCAACCCAAATGTCCATCAATGATAGACTGGATTAAGAAAATGTGGCACATATACACCATGGAATACTATGCAGCCATAAAAAAGGATGAGTTCATGTCCTTTGTAGGGACATGGATGAAGCTGGAAACCATGATTCTCAGCAAACTATCGCAAGGACAAAAAACCAAACACTGCATGTTCTCACTCATAGGTGGGAATTGAACAATGAGAACACTTGGACACAGGAAGGGGAACATCACACACTGGGGCCTGTTGTGGGGTGGGGGGAGGGAGGAGGGATAGCATTAGGAGATATACCTAATGTAAATGATGAGTTAATGGGTGCAGCACATCAACATGGCACATGTATACATATGTAACCAACCTGCATGTTGTGCACATGTACCCTAGAACTTAAAGTACAATTAAGAAAAAAAAAAGAACCAAGTTGAAGCTACACTCATGCTTAGAGGGAACAACATCATCCATTGTGGCTGGAAGCTTCTATTTAACATGGTCCACAATGATCCTATCTTCATAATATTCATGCTATTGTGTAATATTCTCCCCTCAAGTGTGGGATGGACCCAGCGACTTGCTTCTAAAAAATAGAATAATACAAAAGTGATGGGATATCACTTCTGAGAATAGGTTACAAAATGACTGTGACTTATCTCTTATCACTATCTTATATCTTATATCTTACCACTATCTCTCATTCTTTCTCTCTCTCAGAGCCTTTGCTCTGGAGGAAGCTAGCTGACAGATTGTGAGTAGTCCTATAGACAGACCATGTGGCAAGAAACTGAAGTCTCTGGCTAACAGCCAGGAGCGTAAGCCTGGAAGAAGATTCTCCTCTAAGTTGAGCCTTGAGATAACTGCACCTTGATTGCAGCTTCATGAGAAACCCTTGCATTTGGCACTAGTAGAGACTTGGTGTTTTCATTGCAGTAACACAGAGACAAAAATATATGAAGAGGACTCAGAAAAGCTGTACCCTGATTCCTGACATACAGCAACTGAGATAACAAATGTTTGGTTTTTTAAGCTTTTGAAGTACTTTTTTTAAGTTTTGAAGTAATTTTTTATTAGCAGAGAGCAATGATACTGTACACATATTATTCACAGAAAGACAGGAAAGGAGATCACCATGAAAGGCCAGGAGGTAAACTCATTCTTTGAAATTTTCATTTATTTTTGTCTGTGTTACAGCAATGAAAATACCAAGTCTCTACTAGTGCCAAATGCAAGAAGTCCAGAGAACTTCCCTAGGACAAGCAGATTTAAAGATCTTGATGTTCAGTCTGCTATAATCTGAAGAGAAAATATTTCTGTAAAAAAATCACCTGGTAATGATGACCATGATCATGATCATGTTTGTGATGATGATGACAACAATGATAGCAATGTAGCAATGGAAACTCTCACTTAAGGAGTACATATTATGTTACAGATGCTTTATTCATTCTACAAATATTTATTTGGCCCCCACTGTATGCTAGACTTGGTGGTAGGCACTAAGAATAGAGTGGTAAGTAAAATCTGATGCAATGTCTAACCTCACGGAGCTTACAGTTTCTCTGCACGTTTTTTCCAGCAAGGGAAGTGGGGAAGACACATGAGTAAGTGACAAAACAAGGGTCATCTGTAAGCAGTAGCCAGGACAACATCTGACTAAAGAAAGGCAATGTATCCCATTTCCCAAACAAATCTGGTCTCAGAAATACTAATGTCCATTGTCATTGTGATTCATCCGCATTGGTCACCTACTCCCCTGATGTCAGGAGACCCCAACAACCCTCTCGGCCCTATAATAGCCCACTCATTGCATTAGCAGGTGTGGGTAGACCATTTTACAGACAGTGTCTTACAAGATTCACATTATCTTTATTCAAGGAAGAGTAAAGGAGACTAATCCCAAGAGAACCTGGATGGCCATAGTTCTCTCTCCTCACTCTTAACTTATCTAGAAATACCAATGTTCCATTTGCAGGGAATGAAGAAAATGCTACTGTATGCCAGCTTTTGCCTTTTGCAAATGCTAGGAAGATAAGCAATTTCCCAGGAAATATCCCTTCTTAGGAAATGGGCATTTGGGTATACAAGTGGTGTTTTACAGCCTCGAGGTTTCCATCTCAGCTCCAAGGAATGAGTAATAATCAGGGTTTTGAATTTTTCATTGTAATAATGATGGACAAGAAATGAGTTGCCATTGATGTTGCTATTCTCAGGACAGTTGGGCAAAAATAGCAAAGAAGCCCAACTGGAGCAGTGATCTGTAGAGAAAAGCCTATTTGTTGCAAATCCCACTTATCATGTACACTTTGCTGCAGCTGTAGCAACTGCACCCAGCTCAAAAATGCTTTAGGTCTTGACAGAAGATGAGAAAGTCAGAGTCACAAGGACTCTCACCCTGGCTTCAGCTGACATTTGAGGCCAACAAATAGCAAATTGTGCCTGACATCAAGGTTAAAAGGGATCCATTTGTCAGAAGTTCCTTAATTTGATTCTTTATACCCTATGATGGGGTCACAGGTGCAAACCTTAGTATTCAACAAAAGGGTGAAGTGTAGAGGGAGGATTTAGAAGTTGAAATACTCTTTTTAGCAAGGTTGGACCAGAGAGGCCTTAGTACCATTAGCCCTCTTATCTGCATCCACCCACGGATCTGGGGAGAAGTGGTTCTTCTCTAGCAAAGTGGACAATGGCTTCTAACAGCATGGGTCTTCAATTTTAGAAAAATGCACTGTTTCATTAAGTGGGAACAAAGCAAGGAGAATAAACTGCTCAGTATTTCAACAAGTTTATATTCAGCTGAACTTTATTCCGAAGTCTTTCGAAACAGTCATTTTTGGAACTAGAGAGTCATTTTTCATGAGGCTGTTTTTATTGAAAATATTTTCAGAATTTTTTTTATATTCTTTAAAACAGTTACAATAACAGATATTTATTGAATACTTTCTAGGTACCAGTTACTGTTCATAGGCTACAATGGTGAGTAGAAACAGATTAAAAACATCTTACAATGTAGTGAAATCTCAGCTAGCTTTAATTTGATAGCCCCAAAACATGCATTATAGAACTTTTATTCCTTAAAAGGTAAATACATATTATTTGAAAAAGTGTTGGTGTAAATGAGTTTGGAATTTATAGGATTATACAAAGTTTAACATTTCAACTACAGGACTTCAACAGAGCTTTAGTTGTGAATCCCATGAAACAAGCATTCCTTACACTTGTTTGGCCTGAGATTTCTTTGGTACAGGAGTCTCTCTAGTGTTTTGCAAACTCCTAGTACAATTACTAGGACCAACCACTACGGAGAACTAAGGTTTCCTGGTCTCTCACTGTAGCAGGCAAGGAAAAACTGCCCAGAACTTCCCAGGCCTCCCTCTTGCAGAGCTGGTAGGGCTTCCAACAGCCAATTCAGGCATCTCTTTGCCTGAAAGTTTCCTCTGGTATCCATGGCTACTATCCACAAGCACAGCAAGATGGAAGTGGGGAGGTAGTCATCCCTTGGAAGCAGATCTCAACCAGTGACTGATGGTCTTTGGTACATAAATATCTCGGCTCTTTTGTCTCAGTAGTGAGGGCTGACACTGGGTGTTTGTTCAATATGGGTGCCTGACTTGTCCCAGTGAAATGAAGCTCCAGTTTCTCCCAGTGGTGATTTGTTAACTAATGCACCCTTTATTTTATTGGCTGTTTTCTCTTTGCTATCTCACTTCTCTTTTTTCTCTCCTGCTGTTTCCTTCACCTCACAAATAATCTACTTACCCTCCAATGCTTGACTGTGTCTGGAAGAACACAACCAAGACACTTATTCTGTGACAGATGATATGTGGAACACTTAATGCTAATTAGATGAACTCATTTCTTGTCATTTAATGATCATTTATGAAATGTCATTTAATGATCATTTCTTGTCATTTAATGATTTAACTCTTTCTTGTCTCCAAGCAATTGGGATGAAGGAATCAAGTCTTAGAGAAATTAAGGAGTTCATCTAAGGTCACTTAGTGTTATGGATGAAATTGTGTATCCCATATTGAAGCTGTAACCCCCAGAGTCACTGTATTTGGAGATAAAAACTTTAAGGAGATAATTAAGGTCAAATGAGGTCATAAGGGTAGGGCCCCAATCTGATTGGACTGGTGTCCTTATAAGAAGAGACACCTGATCATGCACATACACGAACTCACACACATTCTCTCTCCCTCCCTCCCTCCCTCCCTTCCTACCTTCCCACCCACTTTTCCCTTCTTCCTCCACTCTTCCTCCTCACTTGCTCTTCTTTCCCTTCAATTGAAAATTTTTATTCATTTTTCAAGCTCTACATGAGAAGTTTGGAATCATTGCTGTGGAGGAAAGTGAAGTCACTTGTGGGACCAAGAAGGACTTTATCCTTGCTACTCACATTGTATACCACTCCCCCGTCCAACAGCAGCAGCAAGGCTGGGGAGCTTGTTAGAAATGCAGAATCTCAGCCCCACCCCAGACCCACTGAATCCAAATCTGCATTTTAAGGAGACCCTCAGGTGCTCTGCAGGCACATTGATGTTGAGAAGCACTGAGCTAGAAAGGGAGAATTGCATGTAAAAAAAGTTTAAATATAAAATGCTCAGATTTTTAAAAATTATCTTTGGAAGGGCTTTTAAATTAATCTGTTCTGCTGATTTGGTCTTTCATTAATAGGTAAAAGTTGTAGAAACTGAGGAAGGCACAATGCTGACACTTTCTTGGCCACTCTGGGGAAGGAAAGGGTGATGTGCATGTGTGTCTACATTTTATGCAAATTCAGTACAGTCTTCAGCTCCCCAGTGGAGACCTACAAAAGCACCATCCTAGGAAGGATGAGTCAGAATAACAAGAGCAATAGGTATTCCATTAGTTTGAGCTTCCTGTCTTAAGCTTTCCATTTCACAGCGTTCTAATTACTTCAAGTGTAATTACAGGCTTTTACCCTGTCTCTGACTTCATTAGCAAGGGAAGGAATGGAAGGAGGGTTTCAGAGAGAGTTTTAAGGACTGCTTGTGTATTAATTATACACCTTTGCCTCATCTCTTGGGTAATGCCTTGTCATCATTACAAATGACCCAGCTCAGTTATTAGTCAGAGGCCATCTGCCCCACACTTCACCCCCATCTCCGCTTCTCATCTCCCTCCCCCGGCCACACCAGGTGGCAGCCAGGAGAAAGAGAAAAGGACCCACATCCCCTAGCACCTAATGTCCTGGCCAGAGCATTTTGTCGGGTCAAGGGCACATGGTATCTTTTCAATCACTGCCTTTGGTGGGTTGTGAGTTGTCTTCAGTGAGACTTGACACCTGAATGTTAGCAGTTCATAGGTCAGAAGATGCTTGAAGGAATTCTTTGACCGTTTTTAAGTGAAAGAGGCAAACTCCCACTTTGAGATACTATAGTTAGGCTAAGTATTTTTGTTATTACTTTTTCAAGGGAAAAAGACCACAGGCTCAAAAATAACTAAGGTCACACAACTATTAAAGGGTCATAATAAACACTACTTTGAAAACACCGATTATGTGACAGCTACCGCTGTAAAGTGCCTTATGTATATTGATTCACTTAATTCTCATGACAGCTCTGCAAGGTAAGTATTATAAGCTTACGTATGAATGAGAAAATTGAGGTATACAGAATCGTAAACCGAAATTAAAATTCTAAGCCCCCTGACCATCTGAATGGATTCCTCCTCTTGGCCAAGGGCATTCCAAAGTTAACCTAAGAAAACTAGTTTAGGCTATGATAGGAAGGGGGAGTCAGACATGCCTCATTATACCCTCCTCCCTTTTGGGATTCAGGCCCAGCTGACCAGCATTAACATCAACATAGACTTTAAGACTCTTCAAGTCTGATAAGAAACATTTGCCATCTTTTCTTTGACGCCTGCTGCCTGGATGCTTCATCTGCATGATAAAATCTTGGTCTCACCAACCCCGTATCTTAATCCAGGCATTCGTTTCTATTGATTCCAAGTCTTTAGACAATAACTTAACTGTTTCAACCCACTGCCAACCAGAAAATTTTTGAATCTATCTATGATCCCAATGCCCCCCACCCCACTTCTAGTTGTCTCACCTTTCCAGACTGAACCGATGTATATCTTACATGTATTGATTAATGTCTTATGTCTCCCTAAAATGTTGTAGCCTGACCACCTTGGGCTCATGTTCTCAGGTTTTCCTGAAGGATGTATCGTGGGCCATTGGGCACTCATATTTGGCTCAGAATAAATCCCTTCAAATATTTTACATAGTTTGACTCTTTTCATTGACCAAATATATTCACTTGCTAGGGCCTCCATAACAAATGACCATAAACTCTGTGGTTTAAAACAACAGAAATGTGCTCATGGCTCTGGAGGGAAAAAGTTTGAAATCAAGGTATTGGCAGAGCCACACTCTCTCCAGAGGCTTTAGGGGAGATTCTGCTTCTTGTCTCTTCTAGCATCTTGTGGCTGCTGCAGCTCCTCAGCTTGTGGCTGCCTCACTCTACCTCCTTCTTCATGTGGTCCTTTTCTCTTCTGTCTCTCCTCTGTGTCGCTAGAATTGGGGCCCACCTGGTTAATCCAGGATGACCTTCTCGTCTTGAGATCCTTTACTTAATTAGATCTGCAAAGGCTCTTTCAAATAAATTCATATTCACAGGATTTAGGACTCAGGGTATGGACATATATTTTTGGGGGCCACTGTTTAGCCCACTACAGAGAGCTGAGTAACTTGCTCAAGGTTCCATAGCCAGTAATTAGCAGAGCTGGGGTTTGAATCCAGACAGTCCAGTTCCAGAGTTCATTCCCTTAACTGCTAAACTCTCCTGTCTCTGATAAATGACAGAGGCAGGACTTGATCAGGCCCTGAGCTAAACCTTACAAGATACACAAAGAAATTCACACTCACTCTTTATCCTCAATGAACTTACCATTGAGGAGAGTTCCCTCTTACTCAAACCACTACAAGGGCCACTGAACCAGCCCCCTAGCTTCACTCTTGCTATAGAATGGTACAGCAAGCATCACATATAAGGCTCCAAATAGTCTCCCTGGTATGGAACCCTGGGCAGATTAACCTCTCTGAGCCTCAGTTTCCTCATCTGTGAAATGGTACTACTCCATGGGTTTATTGTATATCTAATGAGCATTAACAAGATCCCAGCATCAGGCATATACAAATGTTTGGGAAATGCTATTTTCCTCTTCTTTTCTCTCCCATTCAATAAATCCCCATGTAGAGATAATTATAGTCACCTATTGGCTTAGGGGTCCTGGCTGTGGAAGGGGTGAAAAGGGGTGGATAGTAGAGATATTTGAGACACTGAATTGATGGGCCTTCATGACTGATTGATGGGCTGTGGGATAGAGAGTGAATGAGAGCCATGAGGAAAAGCTCCTAGGGTCTGGACCTCTGGCTCCTGGGAAGAAGAAGGAGCTACTGAGTGAGTAGGACACATTAGAGGAAGGGGAAGATGGCAAGGGGTGTGGAGAGGGCAAGAGGAGATGAAGAGCTTTGTTTTGGGCTGCTGAGTTTGAGATGTCTGTGAGTCATACAAGTGGAATTAATATCTAGAGAATGCTGAATACATGAGTCTGGGCTCAAAGAAGAGTCCTGAGCTAAGAGTCTCCAAGTATAGATGATAAATGGAAGGGCAGGAGCTGATGGAGGAATGTATAAAGAAAGAAAAGGGTGTGAGAGTGAGGCAGTCTTCCAAGCTGAGAACCACAGTGATGTCTCCTGTCTTCACTGTACCCTCAGCCTCTGAATAAACCTTCTGATGGGACCAGTCCCCAAGGCCAAGGGGGAGCTGAGGGATGACACACTCTCCTCTGTGTCTTCTCTGCTCAGGCTGGGGATGGCGAAGGCTCTGTGGGGGGACATTCAACTAGGACAGAGGCTGTATCCTTGTTTTTGTGGTGATAGAAGCTTCAAAAGAAAGTGAAAAGTTGGAGGTGTTACTGAGGATGCAGGAAAAAAGGCACCTTTGTGCACTGAAAGGGGCAGTGTAAGTTGCTACAGTTTTTCTTTGGGGATATTTGGCAGTTTATAGCAAGGACCTTAAAATGAATGCTCAAATAATACACTGTTACTAATTCATTCTAAAAAAAATCAGTGTCTGAGGGCATAAAGATATATATATATATATATATATATATATATATATATATACATACACACATAATAATATAATACTCATAAAAATGTTATAATTCTAAAAAACTGGAAACAGCCTTAATGTCCACGGTAAGTGGACACATTACATGAATTCTGATATCAGGATGTTTAGTAGTTATCTCTTAATGGTAGGCTTTTTATTAGTTATCTCTCAATGGTGGTGATTTTATTTTTTCTATTTCTAAATAGTTTTTGCAATGAGCCTATATTATCTTTGCATACAGAAAAACAATAAAGCCATTTCCTACAAATAATGCAATGGAGGGACGGAAAATTCTTGCTTGGCTTAAACTGACGTCATGTGGGAGAATTTCTTGGGTGTCCGGAGGAAGAGCCTGGGATGCTGGTCCCACAGCCTCTAACAGAGCTGAAGGAGAGTCATAGCAGCAAGAGATCCCAGCAGTTGCTAGAGTGCCGTATCTGGTGAACGTGGGGACCCAATCATTTAAATGCCCTATCCCTGTGGATCCATTGGTGATGCAGGCTTTGCAGATGTTGTTTCTCAGCAATCAGCCATTCTCTAAATCTTGTGTTAAAAGTGCTGGCAAAGAGGTTGTTGCAGACTGACCAAAGCATGGAACTGTTTAGTAGTTGAGGTGGGGATGTTATCTCAGAGCCAGAAGGCTCAGTTTAACTCATGCCTCCCTCATTAGAAAATCGTGTGCTCCTAAGCAAGTTACTTCAAGGTTCAAATGCTTAGCAGCAAAATGAAGAAATAATGACACTTACCCTCAGGGGGTTTGTGAGGATTAAATGAGATAATTGGTACGAAGCTTTCAGCATAGGGTCTGGCAGAATATAAGAACTCTTGCTCTTCCCTCTGCCTGGAACACTTTTCTGGATGTCTTTACATGGCTCATGCCCACACTTTTACATTTTCTTCTGACTTCCTGACATTCCTACCTAAATTAGCACCCAGTCCTTTCCCGCCACCCTCTATTTCTTATCCCATGTGTGCTTTCTTTCAATGAGATCATTATTATCTGTTATTGTATCATGTAGGAATAGGTAAGCTCCATGAGGCAGGGCTTTGCCTCCTTTGTTCACAACTGAATCTGCAGTGCCTACAAGAGTGTCTGGCACATAGTAAGTTCCAATAAGTGGATAAAGAATCCATATATATTTATTTGAATAAGTGAGTACATGTATATTAGCTTTTGATTATTATTGAGAGCATTAGATAGATGCATTATTCATTGAATACATATCAGTTATTTTCAGATTATTGTTACCCTTAACTGCCATATAAACAATAGATCCATGTCAAGGGAAAGATGGGGTCTAACTGCTATACATTTCTTAGACCTTTTGGTCCAAGAGTATTTTGGTGGAGTGTCCATTTGCAGATAGATGTTACAGGTCTGCCTGAGCTGGGAAAAAGACACTTTTTAGATATAGGAGTCAATTTATCAACTTGTGAGGAAGGATACTTTTATCCTCTCTGTGGGCAGTTTTACAGTGACAGCATATGGGAAGAACTGCTACTCTACCTTTTCAAATTTACACAGGCTTGTAGAAATTGAAAGTGGCTTAGTAGGCAAGGTAGTATAATGAGAAGGCAGGTATTGAAATCAGAACAACTTAGGTTTGAAATTTCGCTCTGCAACTTACTGTCAGTGTACTCTTTGGTGAATCAGTTGAGCTCCCAGAGCCTAATTCATAATTTATCAAGCGGGGCTTCACATAACATAATATCTGAGATATAACAAGACCCCCTGAAAATCAGTTTCTTCCCTTCGATTGACAACCAAGGAGGAAGTCAGTGGGAAGACCTGGGGCATTCATAAAGGGACAAGAATCTTTTTCTCATTAAGTTTATAAAACAAAAGCTCAGAGGTAATGTAGCTTAAAGGTAAGGGAAAAGTAGCTTAGCACTCTGACTGAATCCAAATGTTAGGTGTTAAGCCCTTCCTTTGCCACTTCAGGAGGCATGTAATCTTGGCCTAGTGATGATAATAATGATGATGATAGTGTTGATAGCACCAAGCTCATGATTGCCTGGCATGTGATCAGCTCTTACTAAATACTAGCTATGAAAATGATTATCATCAAGTGGTCGTAAAATATATTGTCCAAATTGGGACACTTTTGAAAGTGAGAGGGAACAGTGTTAATAATTAAGCCATGATAGTAAGTGTAAACCGGACAGGCAGGGGCAAACTGAGTCATAGGTTACCCTATCATTCTCACAATACCTGATATGTAAAAGTGAATTCCCCCTTAAAGAGTATTTAAGCATTGTCCAGGAGCACCAGAGAGCAGCACAGAGATGCCTGCTCTGGTTGGCTAAACTCAGCACTGCTTTTGTCTTCTCAATTTTAAGCTTTTCTGATTCGGTCTTGCTGACTGGTGCCCTGTCAGCACATTCACTGTAATACCAGTTTTACTGGTTTGAATCTCAGTGGGGAGAGAGAAGTTTGGGGGATATGTTTTCCTTTGTTTCTGATAACTGGCTTGAAAACGTGTGCTGGCCTGAGCATCCTGATGAGCAGATGCTGAAGAAGAGTGAGGGAAGCACGAGTAATCAGCCCACCCTGGGCTTACCTGGATGGAGATTAGGCCCAAGAGCATGCACCTTTGCTGACCTGTGCTCACATGGGAAGGGCCCTTGACGGCTCATGTTCCATGCAAAACAAAGCTAATTAATTCATACCCGGCCTCATTTTGTCTGTGAATCTGAAACCAAGACTCGTGGGAATGCTTTTGTAAACCAAGCAGTTATTGTTTTCCTCCCCCTCAACTTTATTAGGTTAATTTAAAGTAAAACTATTCTCTTTCCCAAATAAAGCTTGAAATGAGGAGTCTAGACTTTGGAGGAATCTCAGAACCTCATTTTCAGTTCCAGAGATGTTCCTTAACTTATTTGTTCTTCGTGCCCCAAGCCCTCCTGGGTCTCTTCTGTAATCAAAAATAATATTTCAAAAGATCAGAATCAAATTAGCCCAGCCAACTCTCCTCCCTGTGGACAAAGGGGTGGGGACTAACATCTGCAAATTGATCTTTCAAAAACCTCACAGAAAGCACAGCTTCAGCAAATGCCTCCCCCAAAAGGATTTCCTGTAAATTTCCCAAATTAGAATTCTTTACAAGTTTTAAAGTTCTTCCACATTTGTTTAAAAATCTACACAATGTTTACGTGTCTTACTCCTCCACCTGAGTGTGAGTTCTTTGAAGTCAGCATGCGGGTCTTATTATGATGTTTTGCCTAACATTTATTATAATATTTTTCTAATCATAGATGTGATATAGTTTCCTTTTAGAAATACAAAAGCACAGATGTAATTTCCTACATCATCTATAATCCCACAACCTAGATGTCATCACCGTTAACATTTAAAAATATATCCTCCCAGTCTCTTGGCCTGTAAAGAAATGGGTACTTTAATAGTTAGGACCATATTTTTAATCCCCTGTTGGGACAGGTTAGCTTTTTAATGGCTACATTTGATATTCAGAAACATTCATGATAACCAATAACTAAATTTCATAAGCAGTCTAAACCAACAAATATTCCCGAAATCTTCACAACTTCTAAAATAATTGTAGTAAACTTTATCAATAGTTCAAGAAATCTAGTTTTTAGTAAATAAAAGTAATTGGAAGAGAGTTGGTTTGGGGGTTAATATATTATTTCGTGAATTGGCTTTTTGGTTATTAGACTTCAACAAACTGGCCGTTTGCCATACTATGAATTCAGTTTATAGTGTTGGAGTGTTTCATGCTTTAGGGCTAGGACAAGGACATACATTTTTATTTAAAGCAGCCAGGATGCTGACAATCGAGAAGGTGCAGCATGGCAGCATTTGTAGGGGAAACACAAGGGCTGAATGATTGGAAGAGTATGTGTAAATGCCATGGAGATAGCGATCTAAATTAGATTTACAGCCAGTACTTCTGAGCTGGTGGAAATGGGATTGAAATGAAAGCTGGTTGGAAACAACAAAAGTGGGAGCTGTGGGAGAGGTCCTGAGAAACTGCCTTATGCCACCTGCCAACCCAGGTGGCATAAGTGGCTCCCTGGATGAGTAGGTAGGCCCAGGGCACACTGATAGGGTGGTCTGGGGGCTGGGTGCCCTGCACCAGCCTGGCTTAAAGGATTAGGATCAGGACAGGCTCCTGTAGCTGTTTTTTTTTTAGCATTGATACACTAGTCCTTGCAAATTGTCATCCAGCTCCAAAGCTCTTGCCCTCCTCTGCACCAATATTGAGCTTGTAGAAGTATCATACTAATGAATGTGAGTGTATATGGAAAAGGGCCTGTGTTAATTGTCACTAAATACATCTTTTTATAACTATCTTTGAAATTAAATACAGTTGTTTTCCTGGGGGCTACCAGGTAGGTAGAATGATACCATCTATGACTGAACGACATCTATGACTTTACATGAGATAAATACTTCATGCTGAGATGAGATGAGATGAGAAAGGGTAGTGGAAGGGGGAGAGAGTGTCTTGAAAAGAAATGAGAATGTGTGGAGAGATGCTGAATTTCGAAAACAAGAAAAGGAAAGAGATGAATGAGAATCATTGACTATTAGAACTGGAAGGAACTTAGAGATGAATCAATGCAAAATGTTTGTTCTATAGATGAAGTCACCATATCACAGAGAGGTTAAGCAAACTGCCCAAGGCCATACAGAGAGTTGATGGCAGATCAAGACATAGGACTCATGACTCCAATCCAGGACACTAAAGGAGATTTCAAAGTATAAAAGGAGGACTCCAGAGAAAGCAGAGGGATGTTTCTAGGATCCAAAGTTATGATTCCTTGCCTGTTTAGAAGTTAGAAAAAAAGAGCAAGAATTAATTATATTCTCCCTGTAGAAATGGGGCCTTCTCACCCACAACCACCCTACTTAAATCCCAGCTGCCTATGAGCAGAAAAGACAGCAGTAAAAAAAAAAATGGCACTACTTCCCAGGATTTCTTATCTAGTCCACGGGAGCTGAGATGATGTGATTACTTATGACATCATTCATCACTCACGTGGCTTCTGCTTGCAGTAATTCTGCAAAGTAAGGGCAAGCTTTGCATGTGAGAAGCAGAAGGAGAATGACTTCCCTGCTGTAATGTGTAAATTTGACTTCCCTGGGTCATCAATTTTATACCATGAGGATATTAGATAGTATGCAACAAAATGCTAACCTGTGGAATCTTACTGTGGGCATTACATTGAGTTTGGGTAGCACCCTCAGCATCATCATAACACCCAGTGTTCAGCAACCTGGCTCATCCCGACACTAAACCTAATACCCATTGATCAATAGCTTGTGGTCTGCCCACTCTTTCAGGGACCACTGTGCCTGACATAATCCTAACATTCACTTATGTCAGGAAGGAAACCAATGGATAATAAGTCCATTTAACTTCATTTAATGAATGGGAGAAAAAACTTTGGCACTCAAAATCTTTACCAAGAGCATAAACTGAAAGCTGTGTACATTGGCCTTTTTGTAGTGTAAACTTTATAAAGCAACTTTTTTCTGTTCACCAGATGTTTTCTATGTCCTCTTCAATTTCTCCAGATAATTACCCAAAACACTGGTTCCTTTCTTGATTGAAACTAGTAATACAGTGTCCAAGATTCATTAGCATCCTCTTACATGAGGCATTGGGGCAGGGCTTCTCAAAGTGTGATGTCTGGACCTGCAGAATAAGCATCACCTGGGAACTTAGAAAATGCAGATTATTGAATCTCTCCCTAGATCTTTTGAATCATAACTCTGGGGGTGAGGCCTAGCAATTTGTATTTTAATATGCCTCCAGGTGATTCTGCCACATGCTCAAGTTTGGGAACCACTGCCCTGAGAGAAGATGGTATATAATCTCTCTCTCATGAATAAGGGTCAGAGGACTCCTGACAGCCCAGGACTTCTTCAAGGTGTCAGGGATTTCCCAGCCCCACTTATGATGACAGAAAGCAGGAAGTTCTTGGCTTTGACAGGTGTCCTCTGAACTTCTGGAGGAGACATACACTGAAGAACAGCCACACAACAATGAAGAGAAGATGACTTCACACAGTCATAACTGTCTCCAAACCACTGAGAAGAGAAAATGCCTGCAAGAAAAGCAATGATGAAACCCAGGTGCAACCACTGAATTTTGATAAGGGATTTTTCATCATGGTTGAAGATGAAAGGAAGGCCAGAGCAATGCACCTTCTGGGTGCTGAGTTTGTAAGATTTTGGTTTTCGGAGGTTGACACACTGCCATTTTTTAAGAAGCCATATTATATTTAAAGTAAATTCAGTAGAGAAGCCCAGAGGGAAGATGATCAAGCCCATTTATCTGCAAAAGGATTCCTAGTCTGCCTCTATCAGCTCTGTGTAAGACAAATAAACTTAAGAAGAAACAAGACACCAAAAACTAGCCAGGTCAACTCCAATTTGACTTTGCATTCATAGATGCTACTTGATCATTTATACTAGTTAGTGACAAGCTATTAGAATAGATGGAAAAGATTATACAGGGCTTTGGAGCTAAAGAGATCGACAACTTGCTGTGTGACCTTGGATAACTTACTGAGCTTTACTCAGTCTCAGTTTCCTCAGCTGTAAAATGGTAATAATGGTAGTGCCTACCTCTCAGGGATGTTGTGCTGATTAAATGAAGTGCAGTATAGCAACAGCTTCACCCAGTGCCTACTAAATAAAAGTGCCTGGAGTTTAAAAATTTCTTTAATTATTTTTCTTATTTATGACTCAGTTCCACTGTCTTTGGTGGATGAAGTGGGAAAATATGAGGATGAATGAATGAGTTAATAAGCAGTGAAAGAGAAAATAAATGCATCACATTAAAGAAGGTCAGCTTGCTGTTCTAGGCAGTGAAGGATCACATCTCTCTTTGGCGTACCCACTATTGGATGTAGCAGAAGAGGGGCTTAGCTCCTTGATTTCTTTTGGGCAACAGAAATCTAAGGAAGGTCTCAAAACTTACCCAGAAAGAGGCAGCTTCTGAGTACCCTATGTCCTCGTGATGCATCCCCCTCATCCATCTGTCAAGAATGGTCAATTCTCCTTGAGTTTCCCTGAGGACCTCAGCCTTCTTTGCTTTATTTGGCATTTTTGCTCAGTGTGAAGTCACTTGCTGTGCTTATACTCAGCTTTATGACCAATGCCAGTTTCTAGCATGCTTAAGGCTTCTATTTTCCTTTCCTAAAGGCCAGGAGTCCTGCTGTTTCACAAGGCTGAGTGAGAATGTGGCAAACTCAGCCAGACAGAGCGAGTACTACAGCAGCCTTCAGGAGGCAGACTCTGAATGTGTGAGTTCCTGTGTGGCTTTGGGGAAGTCACTTTATCTTTCCTTTAGGGCCTTAACTGTGGCAATCCCTATCTTGCCACAGTTAAGGCCCAAATTAAAATAATTGCCCCAAATTATTTCAGAGACCTGATTTAAAACAATTTTTACTTAAAAATAGTATCAGAAGAATAAATACACGTGTACGTGTGTGTACACACACAATATTTAAAATCCAACTCAGTAAAATACTTGACAAACCTGAGCAATGTAAGTTCAGTTTTACTATTATACTCGCCCAGGACGTAGGTGCTCTCTCACAATGTTTTCACGCTGTATGTTTCCCCCTTTGTTCTGAAAACATGTTGGTCTCTACAAGCATTGCCTCTTCCCATCATTTCCTAGATTCTTGCCACAGTAATAACAGCTTCCCCATCCCGAGTGCTCCCTCCATGCCGGGGGCTCTGTTAAGCATTTTATGTGCATTATTCTACTTGATCCTTGCAATTTTTCTTGAAGTCAGCACTATTATTATTTCCATTTTTCAAATGAAGAAACTGAGGCTTAAGTGGCTGCAAGAATTTGCCTCTGGACAAACAAGTTGAGAGCAGCTGAGCTGGGATTTGACCCCAGACCATCAGACCCCACACCATGTACACGTCAGCACTAGGAAACAGTGCCTCAGACTCTGACCCTGCCCTGCCCGGGGGTGCCCAACATCTGCATCTAGCCATTCCTTGCCTATCTAGGCAGAACACAGGAAGAAGGACCTTCTTTTTACTCTGGAGTTTTAAAGAAGGAAAATGTTGATGTTTTTTCTTTTTGCTTGATCATACTGGAGAGGAGCAATTTAGCGAAAAGAGCAAAACCCCCATTCACGCCAAAGTGTCAAAACCTGTGAAACCACAAAGGGTAAAAAGTTCTGCCTGTCCTTCACAAAGCTTTTAGTACAAATGCATTTGTCTGGCATATTACTCCATGTAAAAAACACTCAACAAAGGTTTTTTTTTTTTTTCTTAAAGACAACATCGAGTTCACACTTTTATCTGAAAGTGGAAAGAGATGTCCTTACATATGCCTTGATTTTTTAATTCTTTATTATTTGTTTATATATGGCACGTTCAAAAAATTTCCTTTCAAAAGTAAAGATAAAACAGCCTCCTCGAAGAATCTCATCCACTCTAATATTAGCAGCTATCACCTATAGGGATTAAGCTCCCACATCTATATTGTCTATTCTATATTCATGTCAGCTGCCGATTGTCACCCTCCTCTGAATTCTCCACAGATATCTGCATTTAATAGGCCAGCATCATGTTATATTCCTCACCCCCATCCTGGGCAAGATTGATTTCCCCTTAAAGACAGCCAAATCGCTCCCCCAGTTAGCTAAGCCAGACACCTGCAAACTCCGCCTCCCTCACCTCATCTCCAAGGCTTGTTGATTCTGCTCTTGGACAGGCTCTTTTCTGGCCCCCTCTTTTCAGTTTACATAACTACTGCCGCCCGCATTTCCTTCCTGTTATTGCACTAGTATCCTAATTGGTTTCCCTGCCATCCACCGTTTATGGGGAATGCCAAAGTGATCTTTCTTCCTTCCTTCCTTCCTTCCTCGCTCCCTCCTTTCTTTCTTTCTTTTCTTTCTTTCTTTCTTTCTTTCTTTCTTTCTTTCTTTCTTTCTTTCTTTCTTTCTTTCTTTCTTTCTTTTCTTTCTTTCTCTCTTTCTTTCTCTCTCTCTGTCTCTCTCTCTCTCTCTGTCTCTCTCTCTTTCTTTCTTTCTTTTGAGACAGAGTATTGCACTGTTGCCTGGGCTGGGCATGATCTCGGCTAACTGCAACCTCTGCCTCCCGGGTTCAAGCAATTCTCCTGCCTCAGCCTTTCAAGTAGCTGGAATTACAGGCGCCTGCCACCATGCCTGGCTAATATTTTGTATTTTTAGTAGAGATGGGTTTCACTATGTTGTCCAGGCTGGTCTCAAACTCCTGACCTCATGATCTGCCAGCCTCAGCGTGCTTGGATTACAGGCGTGAGCCACTGCACCCGGCCAAAGTGATCTTTCTAATATACACATCCAATCTTGTCCTTTCCCCAGTTAGGACCTCAGTGCATCAAGTCCAGTCTCTCTAAAGTTTAGAGAAAAACACTTAAAAGCATCAGGACCAGGCTTTTTCTTTTCTATCTGGCATCCTCTATCCTTTTCACATCCTCACTTGACCGCTCACCCACGCTAAGTCACTTAAGAGTTCTCTGTCGTTCCCTTCATGCTGCTGTGTCTTTGCGTGTACCAGTCATTTTGTCCCAAGAGTCCTTATTTCTTTTCTCTGTTGGTGAATTCCTACTTATCCTTAGGGATTCAGATCCAGAGACACCTTTCCTGTGAGACTCCCCTGCTTCACTTTAGGTAGAGGTCTTTCCCCTACAGCCCTTGGATTCACATTTCTATTGTAGTGCTTAGTAATATGCATTTTGAGTATTTATTTACCAGTCTGTGTTTCTCAGATAATTATAAGCTTTTCTGAGGCAGGGCCTCTGTCTTCCTTTTTCATCTTTGTGTCTCCAGCACCCAGCCAGGTATACTTGGCATATCCAGGGTGCTTGCTAAACGTTTGTTATGAAAGCTTGGCATGCAATTGCTATGTCATTAAAAGAAGAAATAAACGAATGAATGAAATCTATAGTGTTAAAGGAGTCATCATGTCTTTCCTTGAGCCAATCACTGTGGCCACACAAATGTAATATTCTGTGCCTACCCAAAAGTGTGGGAAAGGCCAACCCCACCAATCACCTGGCTGACAATATGAGAGGGTGGTTGCCAAAGAACATGCGAGATATCCAGAGAGGCCAGCATGTCACCTCAAAGTGGATCAGTACAGTTTGGGAAACATGGTTTAGAGATACACTGAACAAGTCACTTGCTGCTCATTTGCTTCATCTAGGCCATGATCTTGAAGGAGTTCTCAGAACAGGTGACCTCCTCTCATCCTTCCCTAGGTCATGACAGAAGCAAGCTCTGGATTAAGAATCAAAAGCTCCTGACTTCCAGTTTAGGCCCTGTCAAGACATTAAATCTTTCTGATCTTCAGTTTCCTCAGTTATAAAATGTAGATAATGATTCCTGTCCTTCCCAGGCTGTCAAGAGGGTCAAATGAAATGATCAGTATATAAGTTCTTTCAAAAGTACCAAAAACGTATCTTGAAAGGACTATTTGTAATCTCATTCTCAGTGCTCACTTCCACACATTCCTTCTTTTGAAAGATTAAGAAAATTAATCCAACACAACCCCCTAGTTTCCCTTTGTTCACCCCACTCCAGCCAGCCTGTCCTTCTTTTTAGTTCCTCATATGTGCTATCTCCATCATGATATTTTCAGTTCAAGGAATAAAAATTCCCATGTCAAACAGCTTCAATGACAGGACATTTTATTTTCCCATAATAAGGCATCCATAGATAGAGTGGGTCCCAGGTAAAGAATGTCAGGCCCATCCCTCCACATCTTTTGGGTCTGACCTCCCCTAAGGGTCACTCTCATCCTCAGCCTTGCTGCAAGATGGCTGTAGTGGTTCCAGGAATCACAGGCAAAGAAGAACTGTTTCTTCATGCGTGTCTCTTGTTTTAGGCTAGGAAACCTTTCCAAGAAAAATCCACATGTCTTACTGGACACACGCCTACCTCTAAACCAAACTCTTGCAAGTGGGTGATGAGATTCATGTGATTAGCTGAGATCACTCAGGATTCACTCTTGAGCTAGGGATAGGGCTCTTTTCTACATAGACAGATGGTATAAAATGATCAGAAAGTGATCAGAGTCAACAGCTACAAGAGTGGGTGATTGGGTATTAAATAGGCAATCCACAGATGCTGTCAGCTCCCCACTCATGTTCCCAGGCCCTATGACTTGAGTGCCCATCACTGACTTTGACCACCGGCATCTGTATTTCTTTGCTTGCAAGCTCTTTGTGATATTTGGAGTTTGCTACCTGCACAGTAGGCCAGAAATGTTGGAGGACTGGAGGATTAATGTTCCCACCTTAGGAACAGGAATGGGTTTTTTTTTTTTTTTTTTTTGAGACGGAGTCTCACTGTCACCCAGGCTGGAGTGCAGTGGCATGATCTCGGCTCAATGCAACCTCTGCCTCCTGGGTTCAAGTGATTCTCCTGCCTCAGCCTCCCGAGTAGCTGGGACTACAGGCATGCACCACCACGCCCAGCTAATTTTTTGCATTTTTAGTAGAGATGGGGTTTCACCGTGTTAGCCAGGATGGTCTCGATCTCCTGACCTTGTGATCCGCCTGCCTCGGCTTCCCAAAGTGCTGGGATTACAGGCGTGAGCCACCGCGCCCGGCTAGGAATGGTTCTTCATGGCTGATGTGAGTATATATACACAAAGTGTATAAATGTCCCAGTTCCCTCATCCACAGGATGAAATATCTGTAATGTTTGCATTACACTGCTCTCAGAATTTCCCCAGCAGAGTTAAGCTCCAGTTACGTACGGTGGTATCTACTTGACCACTTTCCCTTGTAGGCTGCTTATCCTGTCTCACTTTTCCTCTCCACTATGGCGTTTCCTTCACCTCCTTTGACTTCTTACCTCAGATTTGGCTTCTTGGAAAAACCAAATGAAGATGCTCTGCACCATATGCCAAACTCCTTCCTGAATACAGAGGCTTTGTGTATAATGTTCCCATCTGCTTAGAATGTGTTTCTCTTTCTTCTCACCTGATGCACTCTCACTCTCCCTTCAAGTCAGTATAAATGTCACTTCTCTTAGAAAGCCTTATTTGATCCCTCTCTCTGCCTGATGCCAGTCTCCCAATGCTTGCTCTCTTATTCTGTACTTCTCTGTAACAAAGCTTATGATAATCGCCATTTAATTAATTGTTGTGTAATTATTTTCATTCCATCTTTATCCCCAACTAAACTGCTGCTTGAAGGCAAGGATTATGTTTTTTGGCTCACCACAGTGTCACTGGCACCTAGCATAATGCCTGTCTTACTTGCAAGGTTAAGGACTTACTGGCTTTTGGAAAGATGAGCCTTGTGAGGGACTAAAGATTTGAGTTTGAGGGTCATTCAAACAGATAAAATTATCAAAGCTTTGGACCAAAAAAAAAAAAAAAAAAAGATCTTTAGTCCACATGATTCCCACACGGATCTACCTTTTTTTTTTTTTTTGAGACGGAGTCTTGCTCTGTCACCCAGGCTGGAGCGCACTGGCACGATCTCGGCTCACTGCAAGCTCCGCCTTCCGGGTTCACGCCATCCTCCTGCCTCAGCCTCACGAGTAGCTGGGACTATAGGCACCTGCCACCACACCCGGCTATTTTTTTGTATTTTTAGTAGAGACGGGGTTTCACCGTGTTATCCAGGATGGTCTCGATCTCCTGGCCTCGTGATCTGCCCTCCTTGGCTTCCCAAAGTGCTAGGATTACTGGTGTGAGCCACCGCGCCTGGCCGGATCTACCTTTATTTCTTGTGACAAAATATAAAATTTATGCATAGGAGGGATGCCCATTGTTTAAGGGAGAATCTTGGCATGGCTTACATGTCTATAAAAGATGCCATTTTAATCATTTTTAAATAGAAACAGGATTTCATCTCAAATCCACAATGCATTTATTCATTTAATACCTACTTAGTGGACATTGTACCTGGCAAGATCCTTTGAACTATCTGCCATCAACTCTTCAAAAGTCATTAGAGAACATATGTTAATGGAGAATATTTCAGATTCTCTTTCTGTCTCCCCTCAACTGTATTTCAGTATTGGGCTTTTGACTTTCATTAAAGGAATAAGAAAATTAATCACTATATTTTCTGGAAAAGGGGAACAGAGGACACTGTCTATTTTGTCTCTTAGTGCTCACTGGGAGAAATTTCTTTTAGTGATAAGTGGCATGAAGCAAGGTAAGCACAAATGAACAAGCAAATATATATGCTTGCCATCTCTTTGTCAGGTAGACTCTTCCTGACAAATCCTTAAACCTGACCCTTACCTTGACAGGAGGTGAACCCAGATTTTGTGGGTCTTAAGACATATAATTTGGAATCTCTCTTTGAGAAAAAAAGTACAAAATAAAAATGTGACACAGAGCCATGGAAGGGGCCCACATGAGAGAGGGGATCTGATGTTAAAGCTTCATCAATTTCACAGTAAATCAGCATCTTGATTCAGTCAGGGAAAGTGGTCTCTTCCCACCCCATACCCCCCCACGTTTGTTCTGACCCCTATGAGTTGCTTATATTGCTTTCTTACTTGGAAGTCTCCCCTCCTCTTTCTTCTGCAATCCCTAGATAATGTTTTTTTCAGATTTTGGTGCCACAATGCCTTCTTTGACTCTACCCAGTAGAAAAAAGCTCTCTCTTCCTTTAAGGTCTACGACCTTGTATAGAGAGCCCAGGGTATTTTGTAATGAACTGCTCTATTTGAAGTGCATATTACTATGCCTTCTCCAGTAAGATTATCCACTATCTGGGCACAGGGACTGTTTTTACTTTTTGACTCACTTACTGCATTTCTGGGTACAACAAAAAGGAAAGGAAAAAAGGAAAAGTATTACAGAAGCAAAATGATGAAGTTTAGAGTCAGGAAGACCTAGTAGAGTCCTAACACTGCTACTTATTAGGTAGAGCCTTCATCAAATCACTTAACCTCTCTGAGTCTCAGGTTTCTCACTGATAAAATGGATATAATACTGATATTTATTTCATATTATTGTTGGAAAATTAAGAGCTTTTATTCATTCACTGAGTATCCATTTAGCCTCTGCCTTGGGCTATTTTTGGTACCAGAGATGTCGACTAAATGTGAATGAGAAATACTTGCTGCATAGGGGTTCTCACAGCTGAGTTGGAGATGGAAATTTATAGTGAAACAGGATAAGGCTATAACAGACATGTGAAAAGAGCATAGTGCCAGACACATAAGTGCTCAATAATAGTTGTTGAATAAATGAGTGACACAGTGGGGGAATTCAGAAGAGAAAGTTCTGAATTTTTCAAAATAAGAAATCGTACAGACTTGCAGAATCATCTCTACATAAACATAATGGATATGACACCACCTGGGAAGTTGTAAAATGCTGCATGTTAAAGAAAATACAATCAATAGGAAAAAGCAAGGATTAGATGAAGGAAGAGAGGGAAAGGGGGCAGGAAGAAAGGCCCTAGGATGGCAAGGAGGAGGAAGGGATGTCTGTTGACCCACCTGGCCAAGTGTGCACTCCATGCCACCAAGGAAGTCGGCCTCCTTCAGCCCATTGTGGTTGCTGCTGATGTCATGGACTTCAAACCGCAGGCGCTGCACCTCCTCAAAGTAAAAGTCCACAGTAAACAGTTTTGAGTACACTGGGTTTATGCAGGTGCGAATCACCTCAGTCCTGTCAACCTGCAAGGAGAAAGAGAAAACCTATCAGAGATAAGGATTATTTTTATTATTACCGTTCAAGAAAATTCATCTCAGAGCACTTCCCTTCTTCCCAACCATAAATGCTCCCCAGCAAGTCATTGGGTGGGCAGTCCAAAAGTACAAAGTACAGGCAATACCTTCAGAGAATGAGACGAGTTTTAGGGAAGAAAATAATGTTAGACATGTAAATAACTTGAAGATTTAGAGCTCATTGTATGAGTTTGCATTATACAAAATTGTATCATTATATCATTATGTCATTTTGTTGATGGGAAAACTGAGGTCCAGGGAATTGAAATGAGTGGGTGAACATTATGAACAGTAAAAATTTTTGAGTACACTGGGTTTATGCAGGTGCATAAATGATTGATTGATGCATTTCATGATTGATTCAACCTTGTCCTGCCTAATGTGCCTGAGGTCACATCTAGGCTCAGGAGGAAAGAAATCTGTAATTGATTAGTGATGTCTGGTGGGCACAGTAATGGAGAAAGTGCTATGTAGGTGTCTCATTTTAGCCAACTCTAAGTTTCCTAATCCATGATTTCCAGCATAATGAAGTAGAAAAACCATGAGAATAGATAAGACAATAACTGCCTTTGGTCTCGAGTATGCCCTTTATTAAGTGTATAATGTTCACCCATTCATTTCAATTCCCTGGGCCTCAGTTTTCTCATCAACAAAATGAAAATTAGATTAGAGGTTGAAAAGTTCCTTTCTGCTCTAACATTCCATGAGCTATGATTTCCTTTGTCTTCTGTGATAATAGTTTTTCAGTTGTCCCCCTCTCTCAGATATTAATACATCTCTGCCACTTTCTGCACTATTCTGTGACATAGGAGACTGATGTCTATGGATTGATTTTCCTGGCACCCTTGCCCTCTGGGTTCTGGTTGGAGTCAGCCAAATGGAGGACTTCGCAGGAGATCAGAGAATGGGAGAACAGAGAGGTGCAGGCATGCCTCTATACACACACATTCTGCTAGCAGACTTCCTTCTGCACAGGGAGCTTTTGCTGGGATTTGGTAACATAGTGCCTCTCTCTTGTCCCTTCACATTGAGGGGTAGTAATGGCTTCCTGTTGTTGCTATCTCTGATGTCTCGGATGCCTCACTTTCTTTCTTGGCTCTTTTAACCCTGCCCATTCCCGTGTACAGAGTTTAGTCCTTTAGGTTAAACTGTTTGGGTATGCCATCTGTTTTCTACTAGGATCCTTATCGCTAAGGCTCTTTTCCTACATACTTGTCACAAGTAAAAATATACAAAACCATTTATATTTTGGGAAGCTTTTAAAGACTAAGTTATAGATAACCCAAGATTCTATAGCATCCCTGTACTAGAGATACCCATCCTTCCTATTTTACAAATCAACTGGAACCTCTATGTACTGTCAGCTTTCAAATAGAAATATGGTTTATTGGATGTTTTCTGACATTTGTTAGCACAAACTATGAAAAGCATTTATCTCACTTTCATATGAGTAAAGGAAAATAGTCTCTCAATAAAGGGAAAGCAGTTCTTAACCATATTATGCATGTCCATGTTGCCTAGCAAAGAAAATCTGATATTTGTTCTAGCCACCCCTAACATTCTTCAGTTCAGTGCTTTGTCTCCAGCCCTAGCCCTTCCTATGCAGGGATGTATGTGAGAGAAAATTGTCCTTTAAGGAACACTACCTGCCATTATTGGTTGGATGGACAATCCGGGTTGCAAGGAGAAGAGTATGATTCTGATTATGTCCCCATCCAATAAATAGGCATACAGAAAACCAATCTCCAGCCCATTGCTGACTAGAATTTTACAAGTTACTGTTCTGACCAAAGGTTATCTGCCTGTTCCAGCTTCCCCAGGAAGACCCAGCTTCTATTTGAGCTAAATTTTATATTCTTATATGATGTTCATTCAGAGGGTGATGGGACTGATTATGCCACTGGCCATTTGTGCAGGTACAAGAATTTACTATATCAGCATAATTTTTCTGTTGTTCAGGGATAATAGTTTTGAATAATAGAAATTAGAGATCATAAACTGGTAGTCTGCAGGGATAAGCTGACTTGAAGGTACTTTATTTGTCCTACTCAAAGTATTTTTCCCTTCATTTTCCCACTTAATAAGGTAGCTGTTTTTATTACCCTTCCTTTAGAAAAACTTGGAATATCTGGCAACCTTGGGCCACATTTCTTCATGGCAACAATTGGAGACTGTCCCATTTAGACAAAGCATTTACTCTTCACTTCTCACAGCAACTTCCAGGCCTTTCTCCTTCATTTAATTTCTCTTCCTGGCCCCTAGAGGCATTTTTGCAACATCTGGTCCAAATTCATGAAATAATGAGCCATATAAGAGATTTAATTATATTTATATTGTATCTTTTGATAGAGGATTTGGAAATAACCCCAAGAAGTATGCTGTGGGTGCATTTGACATCCTCAAGACACAAAAAGGGCACCTGCTCTCCTTGTTGCTGGAAGAGAGTGCTGAATAGGTTTAGATGATAGAAGACAGGTGATGGAAACTCTAGTCTTTGTTATTCTCCTTTAACTGCCCCAAAGGGCACAAATAAGTGATGTGCACCAATTCTGGTACTTTTCTTCTAACTTCTTGATTTTCCAGTGGCATTCCCTTATAAAGTTCATGTTGGCATCAAGCCACACACCTCATACACACTATACAAGGTAAGCTGCCAGCACTGAGTGACTTGGTTTTTTGAGCGAAATGACAAGATGGAAAGACATTAAGTGATAAACATTTGTATTAGCAAGACAGACGATTTCCAAGGATAATCAGAAAGCCACTAAGAATCCTGAATATAACTGCTCAGGAAAAGCAGGAAAATGACAATAAGCGAAGTGCTTGCAATAATAAATGCATATTTGAAAGATGTTTTAAAATATTATGCATTTCCAGTTATTATGGAAGATGCATTATTTTTTTCTGGTGCCTAATCCAGGTTTCACATGAGCAACAGGGCCTAGGATTGTTCATTTCTCATTGAGAGGCATCAGGGTCAAGGCAGTTTTTCCCAAAAGATCATTCACTTACTGGTGCTACCAGCTGCATCCTAATCAACTGGGGGGGGCGGGGGGGCTTTCTTTAAAACTCAGATTCCTGTTTCCTAACCCCAGGTCATTCTGATTTAGTGAGTATATGGTAGGACCCAGAAATCTCTAAAAAAGTGTTCTAGAGAATTCTGGTGTGGGAACATCAGTCCTAGGGGAAATGAGGAGATGTAGAGTCTATCTCATGCTCTTGTGTGAGGTCAAGTTTTATTTTAATCTTGCTTACCCTCTGTTATCCAGTCTGCAAAAATGTGAATGCTTATCTTCTCTCTTCCCTAATCGTGATGACTGATAAATTCACATTGCTTTATTGTTTACAGAACATGCTCACATCCATTTTTAAAATTTGATTCTTATGGCTATCATGTGATATAGTTGTATACTATTTTACAAATGAGAAAACTCAAGGTTAAATATCAGCACAAGGTATTGAATGTCAGAGTGGGCACTTGAACTCATGCCTTCTGACCTCAAAGTCTGGACTACTTTCCTCAATTCATGAGCATCCTTAGAAAGGAAAAAGGCAGCTAGATTATGGTGTGATGGTGAGAGACTCAACCATTGAATATTGCTTCTCATGAGAAGCTTTTAAAAATATCTAAAACACGGCCAGGCGCAGTGGCTCAAGCCTGTAATCCCAGCACTTTTGGAGGCCGAGGAGGGTGGATCACAAAGTCAGGAAATCAAGACCATCCTGCCTAACATGGTGAAACCCCGCCACTGCACTCCAGCCTGGGCGACAGAGCAAGACTCCGTCTCAAAAAAAAGAAAAAAAAATCTAAAACATTTTTCAGTCTAATAATAAAGTCAATAACAACTAACACTTTTGGAAGGCCTGCTATCATGGTGCTCATTTAAAAAAAACAGCATTATTGAGGCATAATTTGCATATAATAAACCACATCTATTTAAAGTATATATCTATTTAAAGTATACAATTCAATATGTTTTGACACATATATACTTGTGAAAACATCACCACAATCAAGAGAGTGAGCATATCCATGCACCCAAATTTTTCTCTTACTCCTATGTATCCTCATCCTCTCAACCTTCCCTCCTTCCATTCCCAAGAAACTACTGATCTGCTTTCTGAGACTACAGTCTAGTTTGTATTCTTTATAATATTATATAAATGTATATCATAATCTGTGGTCTTTTATTGTCTTTAATCTTTCACGCAATTATTTTGAGATTTATTCATGTGGTCCTATCAGTAGTTTATCCTTTTATTGCCCCCAGTCAATTACAGATGGACATTTGAATTGTTTACAGTTTTTGGCTATTACATATAAAACTGCATGACATATTCATGTACAATCCTTTGTATGGGCATGTATTTCCTCTTCTTTTGGGTAAATATGTAGGAGTGAAAGAGATTTTTGCTTAACTTTTTAAGTTCTAGTAGGTGTGGAGTGGTCTCTCATTGTGGTTTTAATTTTCGTTTTCCTAAAACTAATGATGCTGAGGCTCTTTTCGTATGCTTACTTGCCACCTGTGTATCTTCTTTGATGAAGCAGCTTTTCAAATCTTTTGACAAGCACTCTGTTTTCATTCTTATAACAATATGAGGTAGGTACTGTTATTATCCTCTCTTACTGGGAGATAGAGAGACCGCCATAACTTTTCCGATTTTACACAACTTGTAGGTAGCAGAGGTGGGATGTGAACCTATGTAGTTAAGCTCCAGAACCTGTGTGTTTAACCTCTATGCTATATAGTTATGCAAATTTGAAGCATTTTTTCATAAACACTGTTGCTCAAAGTAATGCATCATCCAGACGACAAACATAAAATGTGGAACTGATAGGGAAAGTCAATGATTGAGGCTGCAGTTGTGTCTCTGGAGATCTGATTTATCCACTGGACATATTTGAGATACAGTGGGGGCCCTAAACACTGCCCATAGAAATTGGATTGTGTGGCCGGGCGCAGTGGCTCACGCCTATAATCCCAGCACTTTGGGAGGCCGAGGCGGGCGGATCACGAGGTCAGGAGATGGAGACCATCCTGGCTAACATGGTGAAACCCCGTCTCTACTTACAAAAAAAAAAATTAGCCGGTCGTGGTGGCAGGCGCCTGTAGTCCCAGCTACTCGGGAGGCTGAGGCGGGAGAATGGCGTGAACCCGGGAGGCGGAGCTTGCAGTGAACAGAGATCAGGCCACTGCACTCCAGCCTGGGCAACAGAGCCTCAAAAAAAAAAAAAAAAAAAAAAAAATTGGCTTGTGTGCGGGGCAATGTGTCATCAACAAACAATTCAAGACTATTTGTACAATGGCCATCTATTCTCTGGGACTTCCAAGGGCTGGAACTGCCACAGGCAAAGTTGCGGGAGAGGTGAGAGCTAAATCGTGTGATGCTATCAGTGGGGAGGAGGTGAAGGCAAAAGCCAAAATTATTGTCAGTCACTGAATGCTCTAAGGTTTCCTGGAGAAATTCAGGCCCTTATCATCCCATGGGTAATAGGTCTTGGTAAAGAATGACATCATAGGCCAGAGAGAGACAAGAGGCCCTCAGGGCAGGCTTATAATTAGGTATTCCTTCAAACTGATATTCTTTAAATATTTTGTCAATATTTATTTAGTGAGGGTAGGGAGAAACTAATTTTCTCTGAATAAAGAATGGCTTTATGTTTAAAAATAAAGGATTTATTACAGGCAATTTTTCAAACCATGTAACTTCCAAGGAGACATATTAAACCACACAAAAGTTAGATAATAAAATGAATCACCAAGCCACCAGAAATAGCATTATTCAATTTCAGGATTTCAGCTGCTTGTGACTGCTGATTTTAAGTGACTGGCCTCAGAGTTAGTGGCTTGTTCTGTAGCTGCAACAAACAAGTTGCAGATCTCAAAATCACTCAACAGAGAGAGATAGGTTGGTGCTGATGAGACATGGTTTTAATTTTCAATTTAAATGGATTTTCTACTTTGTTAGGATTAAAACTCCTTAACAGTTTGCTGGTTGTGTAAAAAGTCTCATGTGGAAACTTGAATTGATTTGTGCCATTTCTGTGTGATATGTCTACATACTGAGGTTGCATCATTTCTGGCTGTCTGGCTGATCTGCCACATGGACCAGGGGTTCCTGCTCACTAGTTCCTAGGACTAAAAAAATGCCTGAGTATTTGACAGCCTTTGTTTCTCCTTAACAACTTGGGTGGAAGCTGCCTCCTGCCTAGTAAATTATTAAATTCCTTCTTGAAATGGATGGCAAATTAGGTGGTGACCGACAGTGATGGTAACTTTTCTGCTCAGGCAGAAGGCACTTACATGTTATCTTCTTCAAGCCTTACCCTCATCAACTTTAAAACATACTTTTATTTCACAGTTTGATATATTTGAAATTGGTATGTGTGTTTTAATTATATGCCATTGTTTAATTGGAATATATTTGAAATTGGAGTGCATGTTATAATTAATGATATACCATTGTTTAATTGGAATATCTCTGAAATTGGGATGCATGTTGTAATTGATGATATATTGTTTAATTGGAATATCTTTGAAATTGGGATGCATATTATAATTGATATGTCATAGTATAATTGGAAACAATTTTTTTCTTTCCTAGGGAAACATAAAAATAATGGTTCATTTTAACACTGATTTATAATTTTACAAATGATCCTATTAAATATATCATTCTAACTTTGCAAATGATAAAATAAAACTGTGTATCAGAAAAGTAGTGGCAAAGGTAAGACTCAACTCCAGTCTTTCTCACTCTAGAATATATGCTCTTTTTATTATACTATGTCATTTGTTATAGGTTGAGTTTTATCCCTCAAAATTCATATACCAGTATCTTAGAATGTGACTTCATATGGAAATAGGATTGTGGCAGAAGTAATTAACTTAGGATAAGGTCATACTGGAGTATGGTCGGTTTCTGATTTGATATGACTAATGTCCTTATAAAAATGGGAAATTTTGACACAGACATGAACACAGGGAGAATGCCATGTGAACACAAAGGAAGAGAGCAGAGTGGTGCAATCTCTTGTTCCTCAGCACAAGCCAAGAAATGCCAAAGATTTCCAGCAAAACTACCAAAAGCCAGGAGAGGAGCATTAAGCAATTTCTTCCTAGTAACCCCAGAGAGAACCAGTTCTGCTGACATTCTGATGTCTTGATCTTGGACTTCTAGCCTCCAGAACTGTGAAGGAATAAATTTCTGTTGTTTAAGCCACCCAGTTTATGGTACTTTGCTATGGCAACCCTGGTAAACAAATACACCATTCTACTTAAGAAACATCCAGACTGGCAGCACCACTTAATGGATATATCTCCAAAAAAGCACTCTTCACCCATCAAGCAGTAAAACCTTCAAATACTCCAGATTAAACTGAACGAGTGATCCAGCATGACAAGTGTCTTTCTCCCACTTTCAATCCATTGAACCCTGCCTTCATCCTCCTGCCATGCAGTTAACCTGGTTCTCAAGTAACAGGGCCTCTGGCACACTGGGTTCTGCTTATGGATCCCCTGGGATGAACATGCCGGAGAACCTAGAGCTAGACATTCGTTTCACCAGTAGACATAGCCTGGTACTTATGCTATTCAAAGCAGACAGCAGGGTTGCATCCTTGCTTAGGAATGTGGCTCAGAAGTAAATGAAATGAGTATCCCCCGTAGGCACCATCAGAGAGGTCTCAAGTGCTAATATGTTCTGGGTCTTCCCCTTCCTTCGTTGGCCTCCTCAGTACCTTCAAGCTGCTGGCTCCATCCACACAGAGCATGAGCAAATCCTGCCTGATTTGCCACAGAAGCGTAGATCTCAGCTACATCTTCCAGTGCCAAATGCTGCGTGTCCTCTATAGCTGTTCCTTTTCCCCAGTGTGAGTGTCCAGTTTGTGAGGCTGTTTTCTGATTTCTCGGTTTGTATGCCTCATTGTCTTTTGCCCCAGTCCACTCAGCTTGAGGGGTTTGTCACTGTCCTAGTGCTGTGTGATAGAACTTTCCATGATGTTCTTCATGGTCCAAACTAGCCACATGTAGGTATTCAGCACTTGAAATGTGGCTAGTGGGACTGAAGAATGGAATTTTAAATTTAAATTTAAATAGCCACATGGGGACAGTACTGTTCTAGCCTGTGCCAGCTCTATCTTGCTGTAGTTTAGTGAAATCCTGTATAATACACACACATTTAATTGGCCTGGAGATTCCCAGGTGATGTCAACATATATACTAGTAATTCTCAAACTTTTCTTGCATCGAAACCACCTGGGGATCTCCAAACCAATTAATTTGGAAACTGTGTGGGGGTGGCGGGGAACCAATGCATCAGCAATTTAAAAATCTACCCAGGTGATTCCAATGCACAGTTAAGTTGTAGAACCAATAATACTATATTCCAACTGTTATGGCTCAGCTCCAAAGTGGATGACAACCAGGAACCAGGGCTAGTGTGTGATCTACTCTGAATACCACACCCCAACCTCTGGATCAGACCTTATATGCTAATACTTTCCTGCTTCTTTGAAAGCTGCCATTTTGACTGCTGCTTATGTCACTATAGGACATAAGGAATGAATGAAAGAAATAATCGTATTATGGGCAAAGTTGGTTTATTTGGATGTTTTATCCAATCAAGCACTCCATTAACTGGCACACTCCCTATTTGTGAAACAAGAGTTAGTGAATATGGTATCCATTCTCCTTTACATCCCCAGGTCTTTCTGCTCTGCTATGTACCAGGAGACCAGCCCACATGTGGATTGTTTCATTCAGGTTTCTTGGCCCAGCTCACCTTCTTTCAGCCAATGGAAAGCACCAGTAGGAGACTAGAAGACAGGAGGAACCCATGGTGTACCCTCTGTCTACAGGCCCTCCTAGCCGCCCTTCCTGCAAAGCTCCAGCTCTCCCTGGGTTCCAGTAACACTGCCACCGCTGTCTGCCCACCAAGTCCCTCTAATAGTAGCTTCTGACTATTGCTAGTCCCAGGGCATCTCAGAGTCTCTTGCTGGTTCCTTTAACCTTGCCCACACATCTTGAAGCGGTCCCTTCATGAACATCTCTTTTTCTGCTGGAACTTTGATTGATTCCTTAATGCTCTTAAAAATGTTTCAAGATATTACAGAACCTGGAAGAGCTTCTAAATCTCAAGGGCAGGTGAAATTGTGTCCATTCTGATGGTTCATGATTAATGAATTATGGGCTTTTAAAACTTTGAAAACTTGTAATCCATATGTGATTTTTGTGGTAACTTCCTGTTAGTGACAACACCATATTTCCCAATGTTACTCAACAATGGATCATAAGGAGCATTTACTGAGCAATGGGTATGCACCAAGAATTATTTAAACCACTTTACATACCTTATTCCACTTAATCATCCCAACAACTATATATTATGACTTACTGTTTTACACATGAGGAAACTTAGAACCAAAAAGGTTAACTTGCCTAAGGTCACCCAGCTGTCGAGTGATGGAACTACTTGAGATTTCCCTTAAAGCTGTTTCCCATGACATAGCACCTCTCTTGAAGAAGACAAATATATTCAGGTACCATCTGACCACAGCAATTTTTCAAGTGGGGCCATTCAGAATGCTCAATGCTCCAAACACCATCGTCTGGGCAACAAACCCTGAAAAGTCTCTTCAGTGTGACTGTTGAGTGTCCAGCACAGTGTTTACCAATCTTCAAACTTTCTCTTCCTCCTCTTGTTATATTTTGCTCTTTAAGTTCCTTCCACTTGGCTAAAGCCCCCCTAGAATATCTCATGAGAAATCAAAATGTTCCAGGCCAGAGGACAAGATATGATTCTATAACATAGAAGATGTTTTTCAGTCCTAAATCAACTGCCGTATACCCCCCAACTCCAGCTGTAAGCTGGCACATAAATATCAAGCAATCAGAAACTGCCTCACAAAATTCATGCCTGCCTGCTAAAAGCAGGCAGAGCCTGCCAAGATTGGGAGCAGGAAGGTGTTGGATTGCAGTCACTCGAACTTGCAGTGACTGTCAGATCCTCAGTTTATAGAAGCTAGGAGTCTAATCCCACACAAGTGTAAAGCAATTTTCACTTCACTCAGATGTTGGTTATTAACAGGATGTTCCCACCATCTCATTTCTCTGTTACAGCTGTGGAGTCCTCCAGAGAGGTCACCCGAGGATGGAGAGCCTTGGTTTTCTTATTAATTGATGTTTAAAAATAGTGAAGAGGAACTCATCTGCGGGATGCTGCATATGCACCCCAGGTCTGACATGCTCAGCAGCCAGCAGATTGGGAAGGTGGCCTTGCTGAGGCCTGCCTCAACCCTCCTCACGATAGGTGTTCCAAGGAAGGGTGAAGTGATGGGGGTTGCCCTGAAGCTTGGGATCAGCTTCCTCGGGTTCCAACTCCCTCTCCTTCACCAAGTCCTTTAGAATCATAAATTTTTGTCCTGCTTATTAGTCAATTCCCAATTGACCAAATTGTGAATTAGTCCCCTGATCCAAGTGGACCTTCTCCAAATGCCACTGGTTAGGGAGGAGCCCTTCACCCTATGCCCACTTCTCTTTCCCATGGCACTTTGTTGTAAATCAGGAGGCAGTCACCCCTCCATAACACTTTGCTCTTACCATGAAAAAGGTAGGATTGTAGATGTATGTTCTTGATAGCGGTAACCTTGGATCTTAAATTCTTAGAGAACATTAAGGATAGGAATGGCAGTGGGTTTCATCCTGTCTCTCAATTGAGGGATTGGTGGAAATGTGGTGTTGGGAACATATCTGAAGCTGTCTCTGAATTTAGTGAGAAGAATGATCACTTAGCAATGCCCGCCTTGAATATAGGAGGAGTAGGAGTATCTCCTGTGTCACATGTATGTCATTCCTCATCTATTCCTGAGGTTTAATTTTTAGTAGAGGAATATGGAGTAGGTCCATAGATATTAAAATGACACTCTCAGGCCATGCAGTGACTCACACCTGTAATCCCAGCACTTTGGGAGGCCGAGGCAGCCAGATCCCTTGAGCCCAGGAGTTCAAGACCAGCCTGGACAAATAGCGAGACCTTGTCTCTACTAGAAACACAATACAAAAAATTAGCCAGGCATAGTGGCACACTCTTGTAGTCCCTGCTACTCAGGAGGTTGAGGTGGGAGAATCACCTGATCCCAGGGAGTCGAGGCTGCAGTGAGCCATGAACGCACTGAGGCACTCCAGCCTGGGCAACAGGAGTGAAACCCTGTCCCTCCCCTGCCCCCCAAAAAAAGACACTCTCAAATTTCTGTAACTACTCTGGCAGTTGAGGTATGAATCTAGCTATATCACCTGATTCCTGGTGCAGTTCTCATCTCACCACACCAAACTGCTTATTTCACAGCTTCTTGCACAGCGTGCCTACAAGGTCTAGGGCCCAGCACTTCAGCATCAGGGTTTAAACATAAACATACACATACATACATTCAGGCTTTCATTGTGGTTTTGTTAGTAAGGCCTTTCCCTCACAACATCTGAAACAAAATTCTAAAAAAACAGTTTCCTAAAAAAGCAACCCTATGGAACTAGGCCATGCCAGGAAATGAGTTAGCCCAGGAACCCTACTGCAAAAACATCAGTCAGAGAGGACCTCACACCTCTCCAGACTGAGATGGTGGG
The DNA here is from genome assembly GCF_000001405.40 of Homo sapiens. Taxonomy (NCBI): domain Eukaryota; kingdom Metazoa; phylum Chordata; class Mammalia; order Primates; family Hominidae; genus Homo; species Homo sapiens. The sequence continues at coordinate 131,735,298 of NC_000003.12, forward strand.
CTCACATAGCAGAGCATTATCATCAGACATTACTGCATGTCCTCTAAATGTGATGATTAATACTTTAAAGCAGCATTTCCTGAAGCATGTTTCATGAACACTAGCTCTACAGGCAGCTCCAGAAAGTAAACTGTTCTGCAGTCAAATAAGGTTTGAGAACCCTTCCCACTGTACCCTTCCCTTAGGAACTCATCATGCAGAACAATGTTAAAGAGTCTTAAAGAGTTCTGCAGCAAATAAATGTGTTAGGTTTTCTAATATTTTCCAAACTTGTTTAGCCCTCTCTTTCTCTGTCATGAAATACATATATTAATATCCAACCAAAGACATTTTAAGAAGTTTGCATTGAAGTGTTAAGAAAATATACATCTCTATTACATGTTTTAGAGGCATTTTCTCTGAGAACAAAGAAGTTAAAATACAAGTGGGGCAAGTTGACTTCATACTCCATGCTTGGCAAAGTGCCAACAACATACTGTTTGTTCAGTATTTTTTATTATATTAAATTAATAAACAAATGAGACACCTATGAATGCATTTGGTATTTTGCCCAATTTCCATAGACCCTGCCTCTATTTTT